>NC_000005.10:178318900-178469345 GCF_000001405.40 Homo sapiens
CCAAAAAAAAAAAAAAGGAAAGGGGCTCTCAAGGGTGGAGGTCAGGTGAACCTGAATACTTAAAGAGCCTGTAGCCAGGTGAAGGCAGGTGCTGGCTACAAAGAAGCATGTTGCCAACGCTGGCAGCAGGACTGCTGGTACCCTCACAGGCGGCAGGTACAGCCATGGTGCAGGCTGTGTCGGTGCTGGGTGGCCAGCGGTGGGTGGGGGGCTGGGGATATGGCTCTTGCTACATGGGCTGGTGGCCTGTGGCTTTGGGCTTGGTCAGACCCAGATCTGTGCTAGCGCAAGTAAGCTTTGCCCCAGAGCCTGTCATCTCCTGGGATCTTGTTTCCTGTTGGAAAACAGGCTCCAGAGAGGCGCATGTAAACCAGCACACCCCAAAGATCACAAATTCCTCAACTCTCCATTCACCCCGAGTCTTAATCACTGACACATGTACTCCTCTGAACTTAACGAAGGCCAGGATTTATTGCTTTCAGAGAATGAAAAGCTCTATTTTTTTTTTTAAACTTAAAAGGTCATTCGTGTGAGCTTTGATTTTCATGAGAATTCCTTGTAACCTGCCTGCTAAAAGCCCCACCCTATCCTACTCAGAGGTTCTAGGTGGGCAGGTGAGGCCTGGGGCATGGCCGGTGGGCGTGGGCAAGGCCTTTGGCAGGCACTTGCCAGGAGAAGCTGGGCATGCAACATGCGCCGTCCGCTCCCAGCCGAGCTGACCCTTGCAGGCCTTGGACAGGGAACTCTCGGGGTTCCTCGGAACCGTGGACCAGCGCCCTCCTGAGGGAAGAGTGCAGCAGCCCGGCATGGCCCAGTTTTAACTTCCACGTCTCCTGGAGCTTGAGTGGGCACTGGGTTGACCGACTGTCACGGTTTGCTGGGGACTGAGGGGTTTCCCTGGGCTCTCAGTGCTGAAATCAGGTCAGTCTTAGGCAAACTGGAACTGCGGGTCACTCCGAGGGCATCTGTAAGAAGGGAGGCCTCCCCCGCCCTATCTGCCCACTGCTTCCCTGCACCCGGCCGCATGCCCCTCCGTCACTCCTCAGGCCTGCCAGGCTTGCCCTGCCTTGGGGCCTCTGCACCAGCTTCCCTCTGTCCAGGGCTCTCCTCTGCCCATTCCTGCATGGCTGAATGCTTGCCGCCTCCTCGGGATGCCTTCCCTGACCACCAGCCTCAATTTTCAAGTGCCTGCCTCATGCATTTGTTGTCACATTTTCCTCTTTTATCTTCTTCCAGACACTTATTTCTATGAAAATTGCCTAGCTTATTCTATGTGCTTTTCAGAGTTTATGGTTTCTCTCTTCTTGCTGGAACATCAGCTCCCTGAGGGCAGGGCTCCTGTACGCTGGCTCGTGGCTGCAGCCCCTGAGTGGGGCCATTAGTGGGGACCCCAAGGTGTTGGGTCCCCAGGCCGGAACAATGGTTGGCCTCGCTGGCACAGAGCCACCTGAATCGGGAAGAAGTGGGCACTGATGAGGCCCTTATGACCCCAGGCAGTGTGTAGCCAGGTTGTGCACAGGTAGACACAGCCCTGCGTCCCCTCACCTCATTCTCAGAGCAGGTCCCACGCGGCCCCCACGCCTGGCCCCTCAGCTGCCCAGCTCTGCAGGATGCTGAGGTCTGAGGAAGCCGCGCCAGCTGTGCAGTTTGCAGACCACAGCTTTGGAGGAGCCCGAGGGTGAAAGATTGGGGGGCTTGAGGAGCTGCTCCCAAATCCTGGCCTATGAGGCTACAAGGCCCGCCCAGTTCCCACGCATCCTTGCCTCGCACCCCAGGGGACTTGGGGTGATTCATGACTTCTTTTTGACCCCCAGGGCCAGGGCTGAGGCCCGGCTTCCGCCAAAGAGTTTCAGCTGTTGGGCCGGGTCTGATGTGCCTGGCCCTTGTCAGCAGAAGGTGCCTCCCGGTGTCTCACACCCTCCTTTCCCTCTAAAGCCACAGCTCTCCGCTGTGGGGGCCTTCTGTGGGCCTGGAGGTCGCATGGGCCCAGAGCTGGATCCTGCCTCCTGCGCACTCCAGAGGTG
Organism: Homo sapiens; assembly: GCF_000001405.40. NCBI lineage: Eukaryota > Metazoa > Chordata > Mammalia > Primates > Hominidae > Homo > Homo sapiens. The sequence goes on from NC_000005.10 coordinate 178,320,925, forward strand.
GGGTGTGGGCAGGCTGTGCGCTCAGCCATAGGTGGTTCTTTGTCCTTGCCCTGAGAGGGCAGCCACAGTGTGTCCAGCTGTGTTTTGGGCAGCAGGATTTTAAAAACAGCTTTATTAAGATATGATTCACATACCATACAGTTCATCCAGTGGTTTTTGGAAGATTACACTGTATTTGTAAATTTCTAAACTATTCTGTAAAAACTGTGGTAGAATACATAGCATGAAAGGTCCCATCTTAACCATTCTTGAGTGGACGGTTGAGCGGCATCAAGCACAGTCACGCTGTTGTGCGGCCACCAGCACCATCCCTCTCCAAAGCTTTCCTCATCTTGCAAAACTGAAATTCTCTGCCCATTAAACACTACCTCCTTATCCTCTCTCCCCATGGCTACTAGCAACCACATCCTATTTTCTGCCTCTGAATCTGATGACTCTGGGTATCTCATACAAGCGGAGCTCAGCAGCATTTGTCCTGTGACTGTCTTGTTTCCCTGAGCATGGTGTCCTCAAGGTCCATCCATGTTATAACCTGTGATGACGAGGTCACCTTCCCTTTTTTTTTTTTTTTTTTTTTTTTTTGGAGATGCAGTCTCGCTCTGTTGCCCAGGCTGGAGTGCAGTGGCACGATCTCGGCTCACTGCAAGCTCCGCCTCCCAGGTTCACGCCATTCTCCTGCCTCAGCCTCCCGAGTAGCTGGGACTACAGGCACCTGCCACCATGCCTGGCTAATTTTTTGTATTTTTAGTAGAGATGGGGTTTCACTGTGTTAGCCAGGATGGTCTCTATCTCCCGACCTTGTGATCCACCCGCCTCAGCCTCCCAAAGTGCTGGGATTACAGGCGTGAGCCACCGCGCCCGGCCCCGTAGCCTTCCTTTTTAAGGCTGAATCATACTCTGTTGCATGGATAGACTACGTTTACTCTGTCACCCAGGCCGGAGTACAGTGGCACGATCTTGGCTCACTGCAGCCTCTACCTCTTAGGTTCAAGTGATTCTTCTGCCTCAGCCTCCCAAGTAGCTGGGATTACAGGTGTGCACCACCACGCCTGACTATTTTTTAATTTTTAACTTTTTTTTTTTTTTGAGACGGAGTCTTGCTCTGTCACCCAGGCTGAAGTGCAGTGGTGTGATCTCAGCTCACTGCAACCTCCGCCTCCTGAGTTCAAGCGATTCTCCTGCCTCAGCCTCCCAAGTAGCTGGGACTATAGGCACCCGCCAGCACGCCCAGTTAATTTTTTCTATTTTTAGCAGAGACGGGATTTCACTGTGTTGGCCAGGCTGTTCTTGAACTCCTGACCTCGTGATCCGCCTGCCTCAGCCTCCCAAAGTGCTGGGATTACAAGCGTGAGCCACCGCACCTGGCCCACGCCTATTTTTTTTGTATTTTAGTAGAGACGGGGTTTCGCCATGTTGGTCAGGCTGGTCTTGAACTCCTGGCCTCAAGTGATCCACCTGCCTTGGTCTCCCAAAGTGTTGGTGGCATGAGCCGCTGCATGTGGCCTCAAAAGATCATTTTCATCTGTTCCCTTGTGAACAGGAGAGGCAGAATCCCTACCATCCCAAAGGCCATTTCCCAAAGGGGAAAGATCTGGATTTGCGCGCTGCTTCTGTGAGTGTGACCTGGAACGAGCTGGCTCCTGCCTGGGGGCTGCCAAACGAGCTGGCTCCTGCCTGGGGGTCCCTGACCCCTCTCCAGGTCATGTGAAGATGAGCCGAGGTAACCGCAGACATTAAACTTCTCACACCTCACTTTCCTCCGTCTCAAAATGGGCATTTGTACCCAATCCCAGGGCCTGTCACTCATGTGGTCATTCCAGGGACACCCACGGGAGGCCCTGCAGGCACTAGGGACCGGGAGTTGGGTCAGCCCTGTCCCTGGGGTTCCATGCGCAGCAACACTCCCAACACAGGCATGCACCACAACGCAGCATGGGAAGGCAGGCTGGGGACAGGCGGATAGCTCGGTGGGCTGTGCCCCCAGTGGGTCCACTCGAGGACATGCTGTCCCTGGCAGCTCAGGGGTGCTCATGCCCTTGCAGAGCCAGTCTCCATCTGCAGGGCCCTTCCTGGTGTCTGGAAACTTGGCTCTTTCGGAGGGAGGCTAAGCAGGACGGGGTGGAGGATGTGGGGTGGCATGTGGCGCTGTAGGAGTAGGGGGTCGCAAGTGGGCAGGGGCCTGGATCTGGGGCAGCAGAAGGGGCTCCTGAGCCTGGGGGTGAGGGCAGCCCAGCTGTGTGTGGTTATCAGACCCAAATGGTCCTCACCATGCCCTGTGGTCCTGGAGGGCAGGGCCCTCGCTGGCCTGTCTCTGGGGCTTGGCAAAGGGTGGATGCACAGGGAATGTCCGTGGTCCTGAGCTCTTGCCCTTTCCAGACCCATTTCATTGCCCACAAAGGGCCCTGTGGTAACTGATCTCCCTGCTCTGATCCCCAGTCCCCAAGGCCCCTACTCTGTGGGGACCCTGGGGACTGCATGGGGCTGTTTCTCATCCATTCAGATGCTATAGTGTGGTCAGAGAGTTCTTGGTCTCCCCAGACACAAGCAGTCCCTTTCATTTCCTCCCTAGGTCCTGTGCTGCTTTGAGTGGGGTTGGGCTAACCGCAGAGGGTCCTTCCTGGGGAGAGGCTAAGGGGGATCTGCTGGGAAGCTGGGAGCCCCTGCTGGGAGTGGCAGCCCCATCCTGCAGGTCCCAGGTCCTGCATCCAGTGCAAGCCTGGGCTTCTGCACTAGAGAGATGCCACCGTCACCTTGGCTGCTTCTAGAGCTCTTCGGAAGACCCTTCTCCCTGGAGCAGGGCGCTGGAACGCTGCAGGGAGCAGGGAGGTGGCTCCCACATGTGGACCTACCATGAGCCATGCGCTGTGCTGGGCTGTCCAGATGTCTGCTCTTCTAGTCCGTGCAGCCCTGCCAGGAGGTAGCATCAACCCTCCTTTGCAGATGAAGCAAAAGAGGCTCACAGAGAAGTGATATGTCCCAAGTCACACAGCTGGAACAGCTGGTATGTGGCAGAGCTGGGATGAAAACCCGGATGTGTTCAATTCCAAAGCACTTGCCTTTTCTTTTTTAAAGAAAAAGAAATGTGACGGCCTGGGGTCTCTCCATCTATTCAGATGCCATTGTCCAGTCAGAGGTCCCTGGGCGGCCCTGGACACAAGCAGCTCCTTTCCCTCTTGAGGTCCTGTGCTGTGAGGGGTGTGGGTGGGCTGAGGCCCTTTTGGGGGCACGAGGGCTGGGGTTACTCTGGAAGGTGCAGGGGGTGCTTGGCCCCACCCCCGTTTCAGATTCAGTGGGGCTGGAGAATTTGCATTTTCAACAAGTTCACACGCTATGCCGGGCTGGTCTGGTAAACACACTCTGAAAACCAAGTGGCTTCCTTTTCTCTGTCTTTAAATATTATTTTCTCTTTTACGAAATATTTCCAGCCTCATGTGCTTTTCACCGTGCTGTGTTGTCTTTTATGCGCTCAGGATGGCTGGAGTCAAGTTGTGAGTTTGCAAAAACCAGGGAGACCCATTCTGGGTTCATCAACCGCCGGCGAGGATTTCTACTACAATGACCACGACCGCTGCTGCGTGGGGTGTGCTTACGGAGCAGTGCCCAGTCCTGTTCTGAGCCCTGTCACGCAAGTCGCTCCGTTGCTTTTCACAGCCACCTCCCAGGCAGAAGCCACCACCTTCTCACTCTACCAAGGGAGGGCGAGTCACTGGCCCGAGGCCACACACACCACAAGGCTGGGGTTCCGCCCCAGGTGGTCCGTGCCACAAGCGCGCACCCAGCCTCAGGATTCAATGAGCTGGGACAGAAGTGCCTCACCAGTTCTAACGGAAATGGGTCGAATGGCCAGAACCAAGGTCCTCTCCCCACCCGCTAATCTCTCTGACTGAGTTCCCAGGCTCTGTGAGCAGCATCGCCACCTACCTGGGAGCTCGGCGGGGGTTGCAGGTGGCCCCATCACATCCACAGTTCCTGCCCACCCCTCCAGATCCGAGTGGCAGCAAAGCCGAGCTTCTACATCACTGTCTGCACGCTGGCCCTACAGGGCATTTTAGGCATATTAACCATGAACCTCACAAACACCTCGCGAAGCAGCCACTATCACTATTCCCAGCTTTGCAGCTGTGCACTGCAGCCCCAAGAGGCTGAGTGACCCGCTCAAAGTCACGCAGTCAGGAAGAGAAAGAACCAGACGCTGAACTTCTGTCCCCTCCAGGTCCAATACCAGCGTCTCCCCAGGCTCCAGGCTCCAGGGTCGCTGCCTCCCCACTGCCTGCCCCGTTTCCTCTCTTGCCTCCTTCCTCTCATTCCCTACCCTTTAGTCAGGGCCATCCTTCTAGGCCAGAGATCGGATCATGCCACTTCCCTTTAAAGGCATCCACAGGTTCCCCGCTGTCTTTGGGACAGCGCTCCCTGGCCAGCCTGGACTTCCCTCTCCAGCCCGTTCCGCCCAGCTCCACTTGCCCTCCATGAGTTACTCCTAGCCCACCTTTAGCCAGACACCTGGCCTGGACATGCTACACCCCCTGAGCTGTGCTACTCAAGTCTCCAACATCCTTTCTCCCTCTTTTTTTTTTTGGCCAGGAAAACTCCTACTCATCCTACAATACCCAGCTAGGACATGGACTTATGTCTTAGCCTTCCCAGCTGCTTACTCTTGGGCCAGGGAATCCACTTGCTACAGTGATTACTTAGCACACTGGGATGGAGCCGTCTGCCCATCAGTCCCATTGCCAGACCACGAGCTCCCCAAAGCTGGGACCGTGTTGGCTTGGTCTAGGTCCTCTGAGTGGCCCAGGCCCAGGCAGAATCCTGCTAAACAGGACCAAGGTGGACATTCACCAATGACCATGCAAAGAGGCTCCCAATTCCAGGGTGTCCACAGCGGCCTGTGCCTGGGTCTGATGTTTGCCGTGCACTGGGAATGGAGAGCATGTGGCCTTTTTCCCTTTTTAACTGTCGTGCCTGCGCTTGTGCCTGCCCAGTCTGTCCACTGCGGTGGGAAATGCCAGTTTATGAACCAAGGGTGAGCCGCCGGGGTCTTTCTAGCCAGGGCTGTTGGAAACCACTTGAGTGGATCTAGCCCTAGTAAACGGCTCTTAACCACTCCCCAGGGAGCACCCGAGACCCCAGATAATAAGCTCCATGTGTGTGGGAGACAGGCCCATTTTTTTTCCCAAGGATTTATGAGCGGGGGAGTATTCTCATTGACCTCCATTTCAGGAAAGATCTCTTTCTGGAACACTTGCCGAATACTCCATCAACAGTGAAGCACACGTGCTCGCGGCAAGCCTGCTTGACGGCCCCATAGCCAGCATATGTTTCTTGTCTCCTACGCACTTTAGCACTGGCTCTGGGGAATGCGTGTATTTCTGAACGTCCCTAAACACAGCTCTGACTGAAGCACTTATAATTTACCCTCCATGAAAGCCATCGCTGCTCTTTCCAAACATACTTGGAAGTGGATTCAAAGTTTATTTAGAGAGAACATTTAAAAAAAAAAAAAGACCGAACGAGAGTGCTTGTGGATTCTTACTCCCAGCCCCAGCTTGCTGGGACCTTGGAATAATTCCTTCGGCTCACAGACATGACACCCTGAGAAGAAACCGTGAACATGTGGGCCCTGGCCATCTGTCCACGCAGGCATCTCTCCAGTTCGTCCTCTCTTTATTTATTCACCTGTTATTCTATCTGCTTCTCCCTCCCTCAGACCTCCTTTTTCTTTTCCCTCCACTCACGTTCCCCCACCTCATCATTCATCCATTTCTCCAGCCCTAGAAAAATGACTCAATTCTTTTTGTTTATTTATTGTTTTTGAGACGGAGTCTCGCTCTGTCACCCAGGCTGGAGTGCAGTGGCGCGATTTCGGCTCACTGCAACCTCTGCCTCCTGGGTTCAAGCAATTCTCCTGCCTCAGCCTCCTGGGTAGCTGGGACTACAGGCGCCTGCCACCACGCCTGGCTAATTTTCGTATTTTTAGTAGAGACGGGGTTTCACCATGCTGGTCAGGCTGGTCTCGAACTCCTGACTTCGTGATCCGCCCACCTTGGCCTCCCAAAGTGCCGGGATTACAGGCGTGAGCCACTGCACCGGGCCAAAAATGACTCAATTCTTATTCGGGGGTGAATGAATGACTTTATTCATCCAGACAATCAAATATCCATTTGCATATTGGTTCATCCATTCATCCATCCATTAAATTAGCAATCTTTGTTCATTCGTCTTTCTGACCAGCCATCCATCAAAGATGTACTAATGACCCACTCTGTGCAAGGTACTGGGATACTTCGGTGAGTGCATCCCAGTTCCTGCCCTTGAGTAGCTCACAATAATCTGGGAGATAAGATGCAAACAGCCAATTACAGCACAGTGTGGGAAACGCTATTAGAGACACGTGCAGGTGCCCTGGGTGTCGGGAAACGGGCGCTGATGCCTGGGAACAATTCTGGGTACAGAAGGGGCTACGGAAAACACCTATGGAAAACCTGCCCACCTCTCCCTGTCTCCCAGAACCAGTGAGGCAGCCACCTGGGGTAGATCAGACTTCATGGCCACTCCAGGGCCTTGGAGACCTTATCTGCCAGGAATGGTCTTCTGGAATGGGCTGGTTCAGACTCGCCACTCCCTTAGTGATTCCTACAGCAGTCCTGGGGGGCCGGTGTTGCCAGGTCCACTCTGCGGTGGAGGAGACCGGGGCTCAGGCGACTGGAGGGGTGAGGCGCAGCAGAGCCCACGTGCTGGAGTCTGAACACTGGCAGACAGTGCACGTGGCCCTCTGCACCCTCTGTCCAGGGGTGCAGACAGTGCATGTGGCCCTCAGGACAGCACCAACCACTGGGCTACCTGCTCCCCTCTGAAGGCCTCCTGGGTGTTCAGGACCTAGGTCCGACTATTTGGGGTCAGGACTCTCCCTGCGCCCCACACAGCTCAGAGCTACCCGAACAGTCCTGGCAGACAAGCTGCTCTCCCTGTGTGGGAAACTGAGTGCTCAAAGGACCCCGGCAAGCCCTGCTGTGTCTCAGCACCTCGCTTTCCCAGCTAGGGCTGAAGGACTGACAACGAGGACCTTGCCTGCAGAGCAGAGACTGTGCGTGCCCAATTCCAGGCTCTGGCCAGGCCTGGGCTCTGGATCCTGTGGAGAGCGGCACGGTCCAACCAAGAACCCTGGGAGCTGGCAGACCCAGCCTCCCTGCCTGGGTGCGGAGGGCAGGGCGGCCCCTCTGCCCTTTGGCCAAGGGTTCCTCCTCTGCCACGGCGAATGTCTGGGGCCATCCTTCCTGCCATCCACTCCCACACGTCCCCACTGAATTTCCTGTTCCTCATCCCCCCTGTCCCTGTCCACACGCCCCACTGCGTTTTCACCTCTGGGCCTCCCTTCCCCCAGGCTCTGCTCTTTCCATCCAGCCTCTCCCTGATCCTCATCCAAGGGGCCTTTCTAACACTAGCCAGGCCAGTCTCCACTAGAGGAACAAAACCAAAGTCCACGGCCACCTTCTTAGCGCAGAGCAGCCTGGTAAAGAGAGACCCAGGTACAAATCCTGACTCTTTCATAGGCTATTCCCACGAACTTGGGTAACTCAACGGCTCTGGGCCTTAGTTTTCCCACCTGTGAAATGGGTCTATTCATGGCTTTCTTAGGGAGCAGCTGTTAGCATTATGGCTGAGTATAAAGTAAGGCTTTCCCTCAAAACTATGCTTCAGAAAGGAAGGAGTCATTTTGTGTTCAAGCCTCTACTGAAGTCTTTCGTTTAAGGGGGTGCATGCTCAACTAATTACTCGAAAAAAAAGATGACAATGTACTGTTTGGTGCCGACACACAACCTAAACCAACCCCCGTCAACGTTAGTTCTAGACGGTTATAGAGGTAACGCAAGGGGTCTATTAGAAAAATAAGAGGAGCCTGGTAGTTAAGGGTGGAGACTGAATGTACAAATTCATTTTCACTACTTCCAGAAGGGCAGAGAGGTCAGGAAAGGAAACACCAGCAACAATAAGAATGCTGAGAAGCAGACAATGAGGGCTACCTGCCGATACAGAAATGGGCACGAACACAGCCAACCCCGGGAGGCTCTAGCTTTGGGGGTGCTGGATCAGACCTCAGGCTCCCCAGCCAACGAGCACTGTCAGCTCTGGCAGCTCAAAGCCCCTTTGTCAGGCAGAAAGCCCCCCTCCAGGTGGCCAATTTCAGGTTTCAAGTGTCAGCTGGATTTTCTGCTCACTGTCCCCCATAGCCTGCTAGAAAGTTCACTGCCAAATTGATTTCCAAATTTCGTGAAACAAATTTATTCCCAGGTGAAAACTACTGTATCTGATTTCTTCTGCAGATGACCCAGCCAACATGGAAATCCGCTTTGTCTGACTTTCGAATTCACCCGAGTCGGCTTCCATTGCTCAGACAACTGGACGGGGCCCCAGTTCCCACTGCATCCCAGCCAGATGAAGAGAGTGGGGCCTCAAGTCTGTCAGCCAGCCCTAGACTCTCCACAAGCCAGGCCCCAGGCTCCCCCTGCCAGCCAGGAGGCAGATAGTCCACAGACCCCAAAAAGCACCCATGCCTACCCACCCCCACCAGGAATGGCCACTGTTTTCTCAGCCAGAAGTAGGGCCAAGGGAAGTCCAAAAACGCCCCGCACCCACCAGGCTCTTAGGGACCCCGAGTCACACCTGTCCCCTCAAGATTCTCTCTGGGCCATCGCAGTCCACCCACACTTGGATGCAGGATGAAAGGCTCACACATGGCTGGGCCCAGTGGCTCACGCCTGTAATCCCAGGACCGGGAGGCCGAGGCAGGCGGATCATGAGGTCAGGAGTGCGAGACCAGCCTGGCTAACATAGAGAAACCCCATCTCTACTAAAAATACAAAAATTAGCCAGGCGTGCTGGTAGGAGTCTGTAGTCCCAGCTACTCAGGAGGCTGAGGCAGGAGAACTACTTGAACCCGGGAGGCGGAGGTTGCAGTGAGCCGAGATTGCGCCACTGCACTCCAGCGTGGATGACACAGTGAGATTCTGTCTCAAAAAAAAAAAAAAAAGAAGAAAGAAAGGCTCACATGGAAGCTACCAGTGGCCTGCTCCCTGGTGTCCTCATCCCCTGTGACTATGGCGCCATCAGTTGAAAGATCCAGGCGGCGGAGGCCTGGGTAGCGTCCTCTGGCTGGAAGGTCCCAGGAGGGAGAGTATTCAGGGGGGAGAGATGCTCCCTGCAGGCTTTTCCCCTGAAAAGCCTGGGCCCCTGGGACCCTGGGACTGCTGCCCTCCCTGCAGAAGAAGGGCCTAGGGTCTCCTGCCCATTTATGAAGGCTCAACTCACACACGCACTGTATTCTGTCGGCTTTGACCTCTTTCAGTTTATTTGGTGCTCAGTCCTCACAGCAACCCTGTGTGGTGTTACTCCCTCCTGACTGGGTCAAGCCGTCTGAAGCCTCCCTCTGCACACGGGTGCAGATCGAGCTATGGCTGAGCGCTGTGGCCCATGCCTGTAATCCCAGTAGTTCACAGGCCGAGGCGGGAGGATGACTTGAGGCCAGGAGCTCAAGACCAACTTGGGCAACATGGTGAGACCTCGTCTCTACAAAAAAATACTATATATGTACATATATGGTGTGCACCTGTAGTCTCAGCTACTTTGGAGGCTGAGGCAGAAGGATAGCTGGAGCTGAGGAGTTTGAGGTTGCAGTGAGCCGAGATTGCACCACTGCCCTCCAGCCTGGGTGACAGAGTGAGACCCTCTCTCAAGAAAAAAAAAAAAAAAGATCCAGCCACCTCACCTTGGCCTGTGTGGCCCTGTCTGATCTGTCCCTTGACACGTCTCTGTTCTCATTTCAGGTCCCTCTACCCAGTGAACCACTAGGACCTCCTCTCTGCTCTTTCACCCCAGCTGCACAATCCTCTTTCAGGGCAGGTGGGCTCTGTGCCTGGGAAGCCCTGCCCACTCCCCAGCCTGGCTACTTCTTGTCACTCAGGTCTCAGCTCAGTGTCACTTCATCAAAGAGGCACCCACTGGCAGTCCTACTGAACAAGCTCCGCCTTCACTCTGTCACATCCTGTCCTGGCTCATTGCATGTTTCCATTCTGCTAGAATGCAGACTTCTCAGCCGGATAAACCTCGTCTCTCTTATTTCCCAGTGCCTGGCATACAGTAGGAGCTTCATAAGTATTGGCTGAATAAGTGAAATGAGAACACGAATGCCCAGTACAAAAGGAGTGACTGGCCCCAAGTTGCAAGCTGGCAGAGGCACTGCCTCCGCTGTCATGCTATGTTCCCTTCTGGGGTACTGGCTTGGGCGGCTTGTGGGTGGCTCTGTGTCAAAGGAACCTCCTGGAAGGCAGAAATGACCCTTCTGGGTATATCTGGCAGAGGCAGTTGCAGCGCCTACAAATCAGAGGAAAGTGAGGTCATGGAAGGTGGAGGCTTTGAGGCCAAACACACCTGGGTGGGTCCCAGCTCTCCAGTCACCTGCTGCATGGCCCTGGGCAAGCCACCTACACTCCCTGAGGCTCAGTTTCCCCATCTGTAAACTGGGCATAACATGGCACTTGTCTTCTGGATTGTTGTGAGGCTCATATGATGCCCTGCATAGCAGGCACCCGGCCAGGTGCCTCAGAGCCCTGTAAATGGTCCCCAAGGAATCCGCGGCCCTCGGGGCAGGGTGCGGAGCAGGGAGGGCGAGGCTCTGAGGACAGAGGCAGCCACCGACAGGAGGGTGGGGCAGGAGTAAACACCATAGGGCGCCTGAGTTTAGACACATGCGCCTGGCTTCTGGGTTACAGGCAGGGCTGGGCCATGTGCAGAGTTTTTCATCTTTTAATCCCAGCTGTTATCAGCTGCTGGGAAATAGCTGAGCCCAGTCTCCTAGCTGGCACAGGCTTCCTCTGAATTCCACAAAGAGAACAAAGAGTTCCGAAATAGTGACACAGCTGTCCTGACCGGCAGCCCGGGCAGTCAGCCGGCAGGGCCAGGCCAGGAGGAAGGCACGCAAAAGCCAAGCAAAGCCACTTGGCTAGAGGGTGGGCACAGCTGCGGGAGGCTGCTGGAGGCCTGGCTGACTAGCCAGCCAGGGACCATCCCAGGCTCTGAGGCTGCTGGGAGACTGGGGGTGACCTTCTCTCTGAGCTGGGCCTGGCACTGTGTGCTCAGGAGCCTTCTGGCGGTGTGAAGGTCCTGCTCCGGGACTACCCCAGGGTGCAAAGTGAGTGGCGTGGCTAGATCCCTGCTGGTGACACCCCCAGACACCAAAGCTACCTCCCTTTCCAGAGCTTGGAGTGGTCGTCTGCAGCTTTTGGTCACCCTCTCCACACCTGGATGCTTTCCACAGCGCAAGCCCCACCTTCCAGCACTCACTGCACATTTCCCTGCTGCCTTGGCTGCTAGGATGCAGGTGTGATTTACGGTCCACCCATCAGAGGTGTCTCAGTGAGATTCGGACTCGGCAGAATTGGGTGGGGACAGAGCATGATCCTGAGCCAGCAGCTGGGAGGCAGCTTCCAGATCTGGCAGGAGAGCTTGGGAACCATTCCTGGAGGCACTGTTCTTTGAGGTCTCTGGACCCCTGAATAACCTCCCACTACCCTTTTTTCTTTTGGCTTAAACTGGCTGCAGTGGATTCTGCCGTCTGCAACTATAAATCCTGAGAAACTCCTTCATGACTCCCTGGCAGGGCTTCAAACTCCGCTGCCTACAGGGATACACAGGTTACACAGACACAAGAAACAGACTCGTTCAGCTAAAATCACAAGGCAGCCCACTTGGTCTATGTTTGATTTTAACAGAGATGTGGTTCCAAGTCACCTTTATTAGAAAAAAAGCATGCAAGCCCCATGGTAAATGGTGATCGACGCTCGACTTCCAGGCCAGAGGGACACCAGGAGTAGGGGACTGTGATGCCCTGGAGACGGGATATCCTATCTAGAGGGAGTGGCTCCTAGATAGTTCACACTGACCGTTTCCAGATCTTTCCATTTTTCAAGAGAAGCCAGACATCGGGATTTTGATGTGAAATATCTCTTATTTTTCATTTTTGACTCATGGTTTGTTTTTTTTTGTTTGTTTGTTTTTGAGACGGAGTCTCACTCTGTTGCCCAGGCTGGAGTGCAGTGGCCCGATCTTGGCTCACTGTAACCTCCACCCTCCGAGTTCAAGCGATTCTCTTGCCTCAGCCTCCAGAGTAGCTGGGACTACAGGCGCCTGCCACCGTGCCCAGCTAATTTTTGTATTTTTAATAGAGACGGGGTTTCACCATCTTGGCCAGGCTGGGCTTGAACTCCTGACCTCGTGATCCACCCACCTCGGCCTCCCAGAGTGCTGGCATTACAGGCGTGAGCCACCGCGCCCGGCCGACTCATGTTTTAAAAAACACCATGCAGGCCAAAAAAGCCCTGGAAGGTCAGCACCTTCCAAGTCTGGGTTTGGCCTGTGGCTGCCTTTGTGGCCATGGCCTGCAGGGTTAAGTTCCAGCTCTTGATGATGGCACTTAGGGCCCCTGGCATGAATCCAGCGTCCTCCCTCACCATCCCTGCATGCAGGGACCCACAGTTCTTATCTCTGTCCCTTATCCAGGCTGCCTCCCCACCCAGCCACGCCCTTTCATGTCCTCACTCCTCTGCCTGGCAACATGCCTGTGCGGCCTGGTCCCAGTGATCAAGCCCTTTGTGAAAGGCATCCCCTGCCTCCTGGACCCGAGGCTTCAGTCTTGAGGCGCCCACAGTCCCCTGCACACCCTTCCATCCTGGCGCTCCTCATCCTGGGTGGTGATCATCAGGGCCTCTGCCCCCAGGCCGGGCCTGGGAGGACGTCCATCTGCAGAACAAGCCTGGCCTGTGACTGGCCCCCTGAGGAAGTGGGCTGCTCCTGGGGTCTCAAGAGCATCCATCCTGGTAGAACAGGGTGTTGGGGTGAGTTTAGAGAACGCAGCACGGGGAAGGCTGATCCACCCTGCTTCTTCCTGTCTCAGTGATATGAGGTCCCCAGACCTGGACAGGGCCCGTGAGGTAGCCAAGGGGCAGCTGGACTCACTGTCCAGTGCGTGAGCCCCTGGTCAGTCCCCCTTCCAGATCTTGGAAATGCCTGTGCACCTTCGGAGAGAGGTTTTCCCTTTCTCCACAGGGGAGTAGCTGGGGAGGTTGCAGCCAAGTTCCCTGTCCTCCACCCCATGCCCTGGGGATGTCCGGGTCCTCAAGGCTGTGGGCTAAGGGTACCCTGGGTCTTCTCTGCCCTCCACTGCAGACTTGCCTCCCTCCTGCTCTCTGGAGTGCGGCTGTGATGCGTTTCAGTTCCCCAGACTCTAAGCAGCCTCACCTCACGTTTATTAAACTCCCACTGTGTGCCCGGCGCAGTGCTGGGTGTGTCCACATCAGCAAGACGACCCACAACAATTCTCTGAGATCAGTCTCATGACGTGCCCAAAGCACATGCCTGGATCGAGCCCATGCCCCTGAAGCCAATCCTGCCCTTTTGCCGAAAGAAATGATTTCCGTTTGTGGGCAGGAAGGGGGCCACCGGGCGGCACCGGCCGGCACAGGCCACCCTCTTCGTGCCTCTGGTTCCTCAAATGAAATAAGCTCATGGGAACAAGTCCACATTAGCATTTCAAAGAGGACCATAACTCGGTGATTACTGCTTGCACATGTGAGGGCTTCCCGCTGGGAGTGTTACCTAGCGGCACCCATGGTTTGATTTCCCCAAGTTGTGTGTTCCCTTACACATGGGAAATCTCAAGGGAGAGACACTTCCCAAGAAAATTACCTACATGGGTCTTGTCACCTACCTGCCATCTGCACTTAAAGACAGCGACACGAACCCCACTAGATGACACGAACCAAGGGACTGGTGTAGTCTGGGTATTTTCACATATGTTGTCTCACACGTTTCCGCCAAGTCTTAGGAGGTGGGAATATTATTAGTAATTTTACAGGTAAGATGACAGGGCCCAAAGAGGTGGCTTTCTTAGTGTCACACACTTAGTGGGTAATGAGGTGACATCCTCAGATCCAGGCAGCTGACCACATAGCCTGTGCCTCCCCCACACCCCAGACTTGGATGGGGCTGATGAGCACGTTCCGACATTCTGTTCAAGGCACGAAGGGTTTCCTCCATAGGTGGAGACCACAGGCGTCCCTAAGAGCAGCCCTGAGGCTGGGGAGCCTGGTAAGTGGGAAGTCTCAGAGCGGCTCAGGGCCACAGACCAAACACAGTAACGGGAAGTTGAGGAGGGCCTGCCCTGGTGCGCCAACCAAGGAGGCGTGTTCAGCAGCAATGTTTCCTAATTAAAAATGAAAGGTGGGATTTCACAGGAATGCTACATTTTAAACCCTCTAGCCACTCAGATCTTTGAAGAGAAATGATGTGTTCATAATAATTTTGGAGTGGATAACATAATTTACAAATCACAAGTGTGTTCTGTGATTTAAAGTGATGGAAGGGCTTTCTGTTACCTCATGGTAACCAGGAATTTCAAGAGGCATAATTGAATTTTAATCCAGTCCCATAGGAAGAGCGGTCCCCCTGCGCCGGGAGAAGGAATAAGGAAGACAAAAAGATGTCAGCTGCTTAGATCACATGACTTCCTGCTTATTTCATGAGCTGAATATGCAGCGCCTGGGCATGTACCAGATATTCCTTCTTGAAACTGAGCCAGGGCAGGTGGCCTGGTCCATGTGTATCTGGAGACCCTTGTGCTAGAATATGCCAGTCCTTCCAGCCATATAGAGACTGCAGTTTCAGTATCTCCCTATGAAGAGGAGAGACCAAAAAGGAGTTTCTGCCTTGCCTGCTTTCAGCATAGATGGACAATTCAAGGAGGAAGATCCGCAGCAAGCTCCCAGGTCTAGGAACTAGACCTAGGACACTGTGATCACTGGCAAAGTGATCACTGTGGCGAACTTCTTGCACAGTTCTTGCAAAGTTGCAAAGTTCACTGGCAAAGTTCTTGCAAAATGCCAGTTTGCTCACTATATTTGAGCTACAATTGATCTACCATGTCTTTGCCAAGAATTCCAAAGGATTTGGGATAAGCAAATAGCCTTGCTGTATCACCAGCTTTTAGGTGGCTATGTTTGGTGTCTGTTTCTGAGGTTCGTTTTGCCTTATCCAAGTGGCAGGCTAATGGGGACGAAGAAGCCCTCTTTAGCATGAGTGGAATAAGCCAGGTGCCCAAGGGAAGCCTAGAGTTTTGGGGCTCTGAGGAGGGTGAGGTGAAGTAAGAACCCGGCACAGGCTGGCACACACATTAGGTGTTCAATAACATCTAAAAGCATTCAGATGTTTCTCAAAAAGCTAAACACAGAGTTACCATATGACCCAGCAATTCCACTGCTAGGTATATATCCCAAATAACTGAAAACAAGTGTTCAAACAAGTACTTGTACACGAATGTTCCTAGCAGCATTATTCACAACAGCCGAAAGGCAGAAACAACCCAGATGGCCATCACCTGATGAATGGGTAAACAAAACATGGTCTATCCATACAATGGAATATTATTCAGCCATAAAAAGGAATGAAGTACAGATACATGCTATGACATGGATAAACCCTGAAAGCATTGTGCTAAGTGAATGAAGCCAGGCACAGAAGGCCTCAGATTGTGTGATTCCATTTATATGAAAAGTACAGAATACGTCAACCAGAGATAGCACAGACTGGTGGTTGCCACGCAGAGGCCGGGGAGAGCCACTGCTTACAGGGGAGGAGTATCCTTTTGGGTGCTGAAATGCTTTGGAACGAGATACAAGTGACGGTGGTGTGACACTGGGAATGTACTCAACCCCACTGAAATGTTCCATTAAACTGGTTAATTTTATGTGATGTGAATTTCACTTCAATAATTTTAAAAAAGAATCCAGCTAATAGTTCGTCTTCCTTTTGGCAGAGCAATCTGTTTCATCTTGGACTTAACGGTGCTTTTAAAAACAAAAATTAAAAGGAGGGAAAACTGGCTCTCCTAAGAGGGTAGAAGGAAAAAAACAAAAAAAGGCAAAGCTGAAACAAGTGCAACTTTCCTGCAGCTGCTTTTCCAAGGCCTCTGCTATACCGAGGCGTGGGTTTGCACTTGCAAAGAGTAAATACACTCCTCCCCGGAGCCAGCGAGCTGCTCAGAGCGGCGGAAACAGGGATCACGCAGATCTCTCCAGTCTGTCCCTGCCCCCTATTGGAATTCGATTTCCCATGGGAGGGGGGCCTGCGGAGGACATCAGGGAATGTGCAGCATGGAAGTTGCACGTGTGGGCCACGACACATTGCGCCAGGCCGGCCTCGCTCATCTGAGAGGGGTCTGAGTGTGGAGCCATCCTCCCCACAGCCTGCGTGCACTTGCTGGAGCGCAGAGACCCGCGTGTGAGGGCGAGGAGAGCATGCGTGTTCCTGTCCCGGTGATCCCCGGCCAGACCCCGGGAAGGAGCAGAGGTTCCCGTGGGAGTTGGAGCGTTTGTAAACCAACAGATTTCACCCACCTTTCCACTCTGGAGGCGGGCTCTAATGGCACAGTCCAGACGTCACCTCTCCTTAGTTTGAAAATTGGTTCCATAAATTGGAGTGAGTTCAAACACATGAGACCCTTCCAGAAACTGGGCTGACTGCCAGGCTCTCCACACATCCAGAGTGGGTGGAAAGACAGAGAGACGGAGTGGGGTGCAGGGTTATGGAGAGCATCCTTCCAGGGCCAGACTCCCTGCTCTGGGGGTAGGTGGGCTCTGCCGGGCTGGGGGAGGCGCTGTAGAGGGGGCAGGAGGTTGGGGACACTCAGGAGCCACTGCTCTCCCCGCCATCCAGGACTGCAGGCTTCCTCTGTCCCCAGAGACTGAGGCTGCTCCACAGACACCCCCCATCTTCCTGGCACGAAAGCATCACTCACTGTCCACCATTAGCGTCTGGTGATGGAAACAAACAGGCTCATGGGGTCATGGAGGAGTCAAAAAAATGATAATTTTAATCATTATTATATTTTATGATATTATACAATCTATTTGTTTATATATTTTTTCATTATTATTGTTAAAATTATAATCCCTGACATTTATGGAGCAGTGACCTCATGCCAGGCACTGTGTTTTGCGTGTATCATTTCACCCAGGCTCCTGACAACTCCGTGAAGTGGCAGCCACTGTTATCTCCATGTTAGAGCAAGCTGAGAAACGGAGGGGCTGTACTTGGGGCCACACATCTTGGGAGTCTTGGGAGTATGGGCAGGGGAACTGACCCATGCGGTCTGACTCCAGGGTCCATGCTGTTAGCCATGACTTTTTGGTATCAGGTGCTTCTGAAAGTCCCTTGAGCCTTGCCAGGGACCCAGGCAGACAGCACAGCTGGCACAGTCAGACAGACCCACCTCAGAACCAGGCTGGCCAGAGAGGGACGGTGTCAGTCTCAGGGCCTGATCTCCAGGAAGTCCAGAGGGCACAGTCCAGAGGGCACAGTGAGATAGCAAAGGCTGGTCAAGCCCTCAGAATGAAGCCCCAGGGACAGCAGGTGCTAATCCCACAACCCACAGGACTCTCAGCAAGGACTGCCTTCCCGCAAAGAGCATGGTACTGTGGCTCAGGTGCAAGCTGGGGCGCCGCTGCCGTCATCCTGGAAGCCCTTTAATGACAGCAGCGCAGCAGGTTGCTCCCCCAAGAATGGGGGTAGCTCCTGGGTCACCCAGCACCGGGTATGGGGTAGCTCCTGGGTCACTGGCCAGCACCGGGAATGGGGTAGCTCCTGGGTCACCCAGCACCGGGTAAGGTGTTGCTCCTGGGTCACTGGCCAGCATCGGGTAGAGAAGTCGGCTTGTGTTTGGTGGGAACCATGTACTTAAACTCCAGATGATTTGGTTAATGGGGGGGTCCTGGGGAACAGAGACCAGCTGAGGATATGCAGATCCAGGGCATCAGAAGAGAGGGCGACCAAGTGCCCACACAAGGGGGATCCTCTGCCTCTTTTTCCTTCTGGCTTAACAGGAATCTGTCTAAATTACATGTAAACCCGATGAGACTATCACAGCTGAATGAAGGCCAGAGACAGGCTGAGGCTTGTCTCTATCAACAACACATCTTAGGGCTTGGAAACAGAAGCTCAGGGCTGCATGAGCCTGTGGGTCATGAATTCACTGCTCCTGCTTTAGGCAGGAATTCCCTTCCAGCCTCCAGAGGAGTGCTCATGTGTCCTCCCCTTGAACACTTCCCCTGACTGGGAGCTCACTACCTCAAAGAGAGGTTCATGCTGTCTTTGGATAGCTCTGCCTATTAGAGAGCTCTTCCTCCACTGAACTAAAACCCATTGCCTCAGGTCCACTCAGCACTCGTCTGGGTCCTTGGGGCCATACAGAACAAACCCAACCTCTCCTCACAAAACCTCCTAAGAGATGGACAGGCAAAGCCACGACCACAGTTTCCAGAATTATCTCTACAGGGTGTGTGTTCCTCAAGCCTCCGCCATCCTGAAAACCTTCTCTGGCCCTGCCCCATCCAATACATTCTGTCCCTCTGCACTAAGACTCCCGAAATGAGATCCTTAAGCCTCAGAGCAGAGCAGGGCAGGAAAAACACCTCCCTTGTTCAAGGCATTGTGCTCCTGTTACTACAGCCTCAGATCCTGCACTGACCAGCAGGCAGCTGAAGCCATGAGGGGATGGCGTGGGACTGAGCCTATCCTTGGCTGTGTGGTGGAGAGGCATTCTCACTGACCTCACAGCCAGCTAGCATGTGTGGGGGAAAATAAGAGAAAAATGATGTAAGCACTGAGGATATGTTCCTTTATGCACTGGAGTAAACATGAGTGGGGGGACGTGAATCTGCCAGCGCCTCAGTGGGCCTCACTTCCCACTGCCTTGTATGGGGTGGGAGCCTCCAGCTGAACTCTGGAGTTTGGTGATGAAGACTTTCTTGAACTCAAGGGCTTCTGAATGCCAGCTCTAGCTGCTTTTCCCCAGCACTGGAGCTCTGTGGGGCTGGCAGAGAGAGGAAGCATTCCTGGCTTTCATGGGTAACCTGAGAGATTTTCAGGAGTGATTTGGAACATGTACAATTTTTGCCTTATGCAAGAATAAAAATCCCACCTAAAATGTGATTCTGCAACAATGACTTATGATTAGGTGGTGGGATGGGTGGGTGGCGGGTGGCTGTTGGGGGATGAAGAGATGAGTAGAGGGATGAGGGGTCGATGAATGGATGGACGGGTTAGGGAGATGAATTCTGGTGTTGCCTGTCTCTAGCTGTTTGACCTTGGGCATCTCACATGTTTAGCCATGAGATGGGCATCATACTCCCTCCTCACAGCGTTCTCATGAGGAATGCACCTATGAAAGTTCCTAGGCAGGGAGCCTGCTGCAGGGATGGGCCTGGCTGAGAACAAGGACACCTTTCTGACCAGCAATAAGCCTCACCAAAAAATGTGCTCATGTAAGAAAAACAATTATCCAAGAAGCATGTGTCAGAACAGCTTTGCTGGTGGCTCCAGCGCAGGAGGGGTAGAAGGGGAAATAAAAGCTGGTCTCCTTGGCAATTAACGTTCACTTCTGCTTTTGCCTTAGATACTGAAGAGCCCAGCTCCACACCACGACTCCAGCTACACTCCAGCCTTGAAGGATCTGAAGCCCACAGTGTGGGCTGCTCCGTTTGGTCAGAGCTTCTCAAATCCCTGGTGCATGCGAACCATCTAGGAATCTTGCGGAAATCCAGGGGCTGACGCAGAGGTCAGGAGTGGCCTGAAGTTCTCTCAGGAGAAGCTGATGGTCCCAGAGCACACAGGGAATACCCATCAAGGCTCTGCATGTGTTTGGCTGATGGCAAACTGGACACCGGGGATTCTAGTCCTCGGCCCTCCCAGGGGCAGTGAGGGAGTCTCACCGGAATGGAGGTGGGCGGGAATGGAGGTGGCCGGGGCAAGGCCTGGCTTTTCTTACATGGTGCTCCCACTTTCCATCCAGAAAGCCATGCTGTTGCTCTCTTTGCAAGCATGAAGCGTGAGGCCAGGCAGCATGGCTGATGTGCATGGGCGCGGGGCTCAAGGTCAGACCCCGCAGGGGTGGCTGTCCTGCCAGGCAGAGATCAGCTGGTTTAGACCTCATACTGACCATACCCACCAGCTCTATTTCCCCCATTATGAAGATGGAGGAACTGAGTCCCTTGAGCTGAGACAATTGGGCTGACCTTTTGTGGGCCACATGGCTCCTGATGGTGGAGCAGGGCCTGGCTGCATCCCCCCACTCCCTGTCCAGTGCCTGCCCCACTAGGTCTTCTTTTTTAAAAAGTTTATTGAGACAGGGTCTCTGTCACTCAGGCTGGATCACAGTAGTGCGATGAGCTCACTTCAGCCTTGAACTTCCGGGCTCAAGCAATTCTCCCGCCTCAGCTTCTGGACTAGCTGGGACCACAGGTGCGTGCCACCATGCCTGACCCGTCAGGTCTTTACAAGGAGAATAAGAACCTTGGCTGGGGAACCCAAGATAGGTCGGTCAACACTTCCTTCAGCCTCCCTGAGTTGAGGCCTCCCATGCAGGGCACACTTTGGTGGCCCTCTCCCGGACCCCTGCTCCAATCGGGTACCCCAGAGCACAGGAGGAAGGGCCTGGCTAGCCTGGCTCTTCTGACCTGAGCAAAGGGGTCCCCCAGTGAAGGTTTTGTTTTCAAAATCTACAAGCAAACAGGACAAGGGTGGGGAGGCAGATGTTTTCCACGGATGGCTCTGCCTTGGGCTTTGCTCTGGGCCCTGGGTGGGTGAGGCTGGAAGAGGCTGGGGAGCCAGCACAGGGTCTCAGGTGTGGCCTGCCCACCTGCCCACAGGTTGCCCCCGATCTGCTGGCAGACCTGGGCCTCTTGTCCCTGACCTCGTCTCCCACTCACCTCTCTCCCTCATCCCCGTTTCAGCCACAGTAGTCTCTGTTGCTCCAGCAGCAGCCGGCACCCCGCCCGCCTCAGGACCTGACCCTTGGCTCTTCCTGTTTCTGGGGCCTGTCTTCCTCCAGACAGCACCTGGCGAGCCCCTCACTGCCTTCACGTCTTTGCTCACATGCCACCTTCTCATGGAAAACTGCCACCCTCGCTCTCACCCGGCACTGGAGATTGCCCTCACCTGCCTACCATTTTTCGTAACACACCGACCTTCGGACCTGTGAAACCCTCATTTACCGCCTGTCTCCTCTAACCACAACGAAAGCTCCATGGCAGGGGGACCGCTGTTTGCTGTGTTATCATCTCCTCAGTGCCCAGCTCTGAGCCAGGAAGTGCTTTGATTCCTTTGCTGAACCACTTCTGCGGAAGGCTGCTGAGTGCGGCTGCAGTTCCCACATGGCCCACGATGGAGGAATATTTGCACTTAGGACAGTGTCTCCCACCTGGAGCTCCAGCAGGTCTGGGATGGGGACTGCCATCTGGCCGGGTGACAGCTGGTTACAGTTCACTATGTGGAATCGCTAGCACCAAGGTGGTTTCCTGGCATCCTTTTTCTCAGGCCACAACTCCCCTCCTGCATTTATCATCCTGAGTCTGTTTGCTCCATGTCTTCACCCACCTGGCCTTCACTCATCCGAAGGTGGCCTCACAGGCTGGCAGGGGCAGTCTGGGCAGTGGCTCAAAGGCCCCCTTGATACCTGCAGTTTCCTGGGCGGAGACACAGGCTGCTGCTCTGGGTTGAGCTTCCCTGGGTTGAGTGATGCCCCATTTCCCAGGTCCCACCGGCCAGAGCATCTGAAGCTCCCTGCTGAGTTTGGCTGTGCAGCAGTGGCTCTGTGTGTAAATGCTGGGCACTGAGGATACACAAAAATCCCAATATGATGTGTACAGGATAATGCCTCATCCCAATCACATGTCCATTTGTGATTGTGTTTGTTAACAACCCTTTATCTCTTAGTGTTATAAACTCCACTTAAAACTGATTAAAGTCTCATTCTTGTCAAGAAAAAAAAAACAAACAAACAGAAAAAGCCCATAGAATTCCAAATAGAAGTAAGAGAAAATCTATACTGCAACACATTCGAGTGAAACTTAAGACCATCAGAGATAGAGAGATGCCTAAAAGTCCCCAGAGAGCAGAGAACATGACGAAGGAGCAAGACTTGGACAGAACCACACTTTCCAACAACCACATGGACTGTAAGGCCACAGGGGAGGAATAATGGTTTTGAGTACCGAAGTGAACACTGAAATTTTGAGTACTGAACTTTGCACCCTGAATTTTACATCCAGCCAACTGTCACCCAAGTGTGAGGGCATGGCCAACACATTCTCAACCACAGAAGGCCCTAGAAGTTGGCCACATAAAGACCCACGTGGGAAACACTCAGGACCAGCACATGGTTCAAGACATGAGAAGATCAAAGGGTGATCAGATTCCGAAGCGAAGACTGTTTCCCGCCTCCACCCCCATCAATTAGCTAAGATCCAGAAGAGAAAGAGAGTGACAGGATGGGGACTAGGTGGAGGGGAGATCCTGGGACACGAGGGAGCAGTCATGTGACCGAGGAACATATGGATAACATTTTTATTTATAAAAAGAAAGGATTAACCAAGAAACCTAGAAAAGGCAGGGGACAAGCTGAAACCATAAACTTGTCGGTAAAAAGGCAAAGACTGTTGATTGGATAGAAGCCAAAATCCAGCTACAGGCTTTTTAGAAGAAAGACAACTAAGTCATAAATCAGAGGAATGAAGAGGAAGGGGTGTGGATGGGATACAGCTGAAATTTCTTGAAGCTGGATGTGGGGTCCGTGCATGGGAGTTCATGACACTGTTCTGCTTGTGCAAACATCTGAATTTTTCCATTATATATATATATTTTTTTTTTTTTTTGGAGACGGAGTCTTGCTCTTGTCGCCCAGGCTGGAGCGCAGTGGCGTGATCTTGGCTCACTGCAACCTCTGCCTCCTGGGTTCAAGCACTTCTCCTGCCTCAGCCTCCTGAGTAGCTGGGACTACAGGTGCACGCCACCACGGCCCACTAATTTTTATATTTTTAGTAGAGATGGAGTTTCACCATGTTGGCCAGGATGGTCTCGATCTCCTGAGCTCGTGATCTGCCCACCTTGGCCTCCCAAAGTGCTGGGATTACAGGCGTGAGCCACCGTACCCGGCCTAAAATGTTTTTTAAAAGACCATTCTGAACCCAAATTTCTCTCTTCTCCAAAAGTCCAAGACAGCTGTCTATCCCTAATTTTTACATTATGCCCATCACTTGAACTTTTAGAAAAGAAATGAACGTGTAGAAACTGGTTTTATTTTGCAGTAATATAAGTATGGTCATCCCTTGGTATCTGTGGGGGATTGGATCCAGCACCCCCAAAAGATACCAAAATCCATGGATGCTCAAGTCCCTTACAGAAGATAATGTCCTATTTGCACATAGCTTACACACATCTTCAAATTGTCTCTAGATTCTGATACCTAATCAATGTAAATGCTATGTAAACAGTTGTTACACTGTATTTTACACAGTTGTTTAGGGAATAATGGCAAGAAGAAAGGTCTGTGGCCGGGCGTGGTGGCTCACGCCTGTAATCCCAGCACCTTGGGAGACCAAGGTGGGTGGATCACCTGAGGTCAGGAGTTGGAGACCAGCTTGACCAATATGGTGAAACCCCGTCTCCACTAAAATTACAAAAATTAGCCAGGTCTGGTGGCGTGCCCTTGTAGTCCCAGCTACGCAGGAGGCTGAGGCAGGACAACCAGAATCGCTTGAACCTGGGAGGCGGAGGTTGCAGTGAGCCGACATCATGTCACTGCACTCCAGCCTGGGCGACAGAGCGAGATTCTGTCTCAAAAAAAAAAGAAAGGTCTGTGTTTAATACAAATACAACTACCCATTTTTTCCTAATATGTTTGATCTACAGTTGGTTGAAACCAGAGACACAGAACCTACTGAAACAGAGGGCCTACTGTATGCCCGTTGCCTCCAGAAAGTTTCCAAATTTCTCTTTGTTAAGATCACTGTAGCTCAGGCCCATGGATCTCATTGAAGATGGCGGGGCGATCTGTGTCTGGCATTACCAGAAGAGTCTTCATGTGGACAGTCTCAGGGACAACACGTAGAGAATTTGGGTCTCGATCCAGAAAAGAGAAAGTGCCAGTGGTTGCTGAGACAGAAGAGGTGAAAAAGGAACCTATTGCAGTGTGTCCACCCTCATGAAGCTGAGGATACTCACCACCTGGAGATCTCCAGAGTCATTTGGAATCTTATGTTAAAGAAGCTTTTGGTTCATCTCTTCCTGGTAATTGGCACGACATCTCCCAGGAAGATGGTCATCTAAAGTTCAATCTCTTGGCACATTTAGCTGATGGCCTGGGTCACGTAGTCTCTAACTCCAGACTCCACCAGATGTGCGGGGTTAGAGATGTTCTTGATTTCTATAATGTCCCTATTCAAGACAGACCTAAATTTGATGAACTCGGTGCCAGTAATCTGCCCCCTAGTTTGAAAATCACTTGGAGCAATTCGGAAGAGAAACACATTGAAATCATTTTTTTCCCTGAGCAAGGGGCCTGCTTATTAGACCTTTTGAAACTTCACCATGTGAAATACTACCAGAACTGTTCTCTAAACACACTTGTTCTATAGAGAAATGTATCATCTCTTTTTTTTTTCTCATATTATGAATGGGCAAATAACAGGACTTTCTATTTTCGTATTTGCTGACACCATTTTTTTTTTTTGAGACAGAGTTTCGCTCTGCCACCCAGGCTGGAGTGCAGTGGCGCGATCTCGACTCACTGCAAGCTCCGCCTCCTGGGTTCACGCCATTCTCCTGCCTCAGCCTCCCGAGTAGCTGGGACTACAGGTGCCCGCCACCACGCCCGGCTAATTTTTTGTATTTTTTTTTTTTTCAGTAGAGACAGGGTTTCACCGTGTTAGCCAGGATGGTCTCAATCTCCTGACCTCATGATCTGTCTGCCTCAGCCTCCCAAAGTGCTGGGATTATAGGTATGAGCCGTTGCGCCCGGACTTTTTGAAACCATTTTAAAATGAAATTAGATCATTAATAATTTATGAAAAATTTTGGGAGGACATGGTCATTCACTTGGGTTTAAGACAGGAGGACACTGCAAGTTCACACCCTTCATAGGCATAAAGTAGTAGTTACAAGAAAATATTTTCATCCTGTTAGGACTCATATCTAAGATAGAGTTATAGAGTTATTATACATTGCACATATACAAATAAACTTGTATTAGATATCTATAAAATAAACATAAAAGCATGTTGTATATTACTGACCATTCTAGATTAATTTCTTTTGGAATTAAAGTAGATTTGTTAAAAAAAAATCGCTGTAAATTGTCAGGAATGAAAGAAAAGCTATGGGTTTAAATTGATCTTTTTATTTATTTATTTATTATTTATTTATTTTTGTTGTTGTTTGTTTGTTTTTTAAGATGGAGTTTCGTTCTGTCGCCCAGGCTGGAGTGCATTGGTGCGATCTCGGCTCACTGCAACCTCCACCTCCCAGGTTCAAATTATTCTCCAGCCTCAGCCTCCCCAGTAGCTGGGATTTCAGGGGCCTGCCACCATGTCTGGCTAATTTTTTTGTATTTTTAGTACAGGTGGGGTTTCACCATGTTGGCCAGGCTGGTCTCAAATTCCTGACCTCAGGTGATCCACCCGCCTTGGTCTCCCAAAGTGCTGGGATTACAGGTGTGAGCCACCAGGCCTGGCCACAAATTGATCTTTTGAAGTTAAACAGACATATGTACATACGTCTTAATATACATACATGCATGTTTCTATGTATGCCCCTTCACATACTTCCCCACAATCTGACTCTTGAAGGCTATCAACAAGAATGCTAATAATGGTTGCCTGTAGATGCTGAAATCACACAAGGGCCCTTTTCATTCTTTTCCTTCCCCCCGAAAAGATCATGTGTCCCAAGCTGCATTTACGTAGCAACAGCTAACTTGTTTTCCCATCATGATTAATCAGAGTCATATGCAGCGGCCCGTCGGAGCCTCTGAAGGCTGCAGATAGACACCAGCCTCACACTGGGCTGATAAAGCTCCAGCGGAAATCCCAGCGACCCAGCCTTGGGTTGGCCTGGGAGGCTGATACCTCACCAAGGCATGATTTTCCTCAGAGGTTGTGAAACAGCAAAAATCATTGGTGGGTCTCCTTACGGCCTCCAGGGACCTGAAAAGGGGACCTGAGTCCATGCCCATCTGGTGAGCAGGGTGAGGCCCAGCAGGGTCTGGTGGCCCTGCTTGAGGCCGCCTCCCCCTCCCTCCCTGTCCTCACCGCGCACTGAGGCACTGGGAGCCGCACTGGCCCGAGACCTTTCTGCAAGGATGGAAACGTCCGCTGAGCCACCCACACGGAAACTGAAAGGTGGCCGTGGAACACCTGAAATATGACCAGTGTGACCGAAGGACTGGATTTTATCTTTCATTTAACTTTTTAAATTTAAATAGCCACGAATGAACCTTGAACACGTGCTAGGTGAAAAAAGCCACACTGTGTATGGTTCCACTCACAGGAAATGTCCCGAACAGGCGAATCCAGAGAGACTGAAAGAAGTAGACACGGGGATGCCAGAGCCTGGGGGACGGGCATGGGGGGAGGGGTATGGGGAGGGATTGCCAGGGCTTCTCTCTGGGGTGATGGAAACTTTCTGGAATCAGACAGTGGTGACGGCTGCACAGTGTGTGAATACACTAAAAACCACCGAGTCATACACTTTAAATGGTGAATTTTATGTTGTGTTATATCTCTATTAAAAAAAAAAATAGGGCCGGGCGTGGTGGCTCACGCCTGTAATCCCAGCACTTTGGGAGCTGAGGCGGGCGGATCATGAGGTCAAGAGATCGAGACCATCCTGGCCAACATGGTGAAACCCTGTCTCTACTAAAAGTACAAAAATTAGCTGGGCGCACTGGCGGGCGCCTATAATCCCAGCTACTCGGGAGGCTGAGGCAGGAGAATCACTTGAACCCGGGAGGCGGAGCTTGCAGTGAGCCGAGATTGCGCCATTGCACTCCAGCCTGGTGACAGAGCAAGACTCTGTCTCAAAAAAAAAAAAAAAAAACCCAAAAAAACAAAACAAAAAAAAAACAAAGAATAAATTTAAATAGCCACACGGACTAGTGACTACCATATAGGCTAGCACAGTTCTAGAAACTTAGAGGAGTGGTCTAGAACTTTGATCATCCTCCCCTGTCCTGGATTCATGCCTCCCAGCCCCAGCAGTGCCCCTCGGGGTCTCGCATGCCTCCATGTGCCTCCTGATGGCCTGTGACCTCACCCCCGCCCCTGTTCCCATCCAGCTCCAGCTGCCCTGACGCCGCCCCCCGACTGGCCTTGCCTTGGCCTCTCCACCTGCCGCCCAGGGCTTGGGCGGGCTCTTCCCAGCAGCTCTGCCTCTTGCAGGGACCTCTGTGTTCCCACGCACTCGGGGCGACTCTGGGCTATGATCACCTGCTTTCTTCTCATTATTTTGCTGAAAAGAACCCCTCCTCTACCTCATTGCTAATGGCTTTTTCTTACTGAGGAGGGGACACCTCAGGCAGAAGGCCACCCTAAACTGCCCCTGGCAGGGTCAAGGCCCCATCCTGTCTCCCCCACCCCCACCGCAGCCCTGTCATGCTGCATTCTGGTCCTTTTCCATGTTCATGGCTACCTCCCTTGGCAGTCAGGGTTGGGTGTGTGGCCTCAGGGCTCCGAACGGCGCTGGGCCAGCAGGCATACCCTCACAGCGGCTTCCCTGCTAACAAAGTGCCTCACGCCCATTTACTACCTGGCTTCTGGGCTGAGCTCCCTGCCTGGCTGCAGAGCATTCTGCCTCAGGAGGGGAAAGGGGTCTGCAGAGCCCCTTCCCAGGACCAGGCCCCCATGGGTGCCCAGTGGCTCCCACCTTCCTAAGTCTGATTTAGGGAGGGACTTCCAAGAGGTCCTGGGTCCTGCCACTCCACCTGCTCTGAATCCAGCCCTTCCTCAGCCCTTCCATCTGAGGCCCAGCCACTCTCTGCACACGGCCCAGGCCAACCCCCCAGCAGGGAGGGAGATCAAATTCAGGGCTGCAGCTCGTCCCACTGCAGAGGGTCAGCCTCCCCCACCCGCGTCAGCAGCACAGGCCGACCCCCAAATCCCACCTGAACCCAAGCAGGAGTGGGGTGAACACATGTGCAAAGGTGCTCTGCTCAACTTAACACAGAAGGCGGCATTGTCTTCCTGCGTCTTGCCGGGCAGTCTGGAAGGGATTCTCGGTAGAGCCGACGAGGGCTTACCAAATTCTCAGCACAGCGAGAACTCGGATGATTGATGCGGAGAAAAACATTGTTACCAGCCCCTCATCTGGTTTGTATTAAGAGGCTTCCATGCTTGGATTTTTTTCCCCCCAAGGTAAAAACCAGCAATGAGTTGAGACCAGAGAAATAACAGGGGCACAGGCAGCTGGGTGAGGGGAACCAGAGCTGAAAGATGTGACAGAGGTCGGGGTAGGAAGCCCCTCCCCACTGAGGACTGGCAGGAGGCAGAGGCCCACTGCGGCGGGTGCCCAGGAGAATCACACCGGTGTTGATAACCCGGGTGATGCTGTGACTGGCTTCCTTTCTCACTTTATTAAAGTCACAATAGATTTGGCAGCAGACAAAAGTGGCTGGTCCCCTCCGGCCCTCCGCTAGGCGGGCCCATCCCCCATGCCCCACACCTGGCCCTCCCTAGGCAGGGCCACCCCCCACGCCCCACGCCTGGCCTCCCGTGCCTCCCGCTTCCTGCCTCACCTTTCCACGGCACTATCACCGTCCAATGTAATGGGAGGCTTTCCTTTTTTTTTGTCTTCTGTCTCCCTTGGGGGGAGCCCCAAGAAGATGGACTCCACACCAGAGTGTTGACTGAGTGAATGAATGATGGACCAAGTCCTACTGGGGTCCCCCAACCCTCACCTGGGCCCCAGGCTCCTCCTTGCAGGGGTGAGAGTGGGGGGAGGTCTGTGTGGCTTCAGCTCCACTAGTGGGTGTGATCTAGAGGAGGCCGCCCCCTGCAGTGGCCCCTGACTGGAGGGGGACCTCTGGTACCTCCCTGGGGTACTCTCTCCCTCCCAGGCCTGGAGAAGGTGGGCAGGACTTGGGAAAATTCCCACCTACAATGAGGCACCAGTGCATGTGCACCCAGGGTCTCGGGTCCTATCAAGTCTCCTGGCCTTCAAGGTCCTCAGGCCCTCTGTGCCCCCTCTCCAGGCACCCTAAAACCAGGTTACAATGCAAGCTGGCTGTGCCCAGGGACACCAAGCCTGTGCCATGCTCTTCCCCTGCCTACAATTACACTGAGCACTTTCCCACGCAGTCAGCTTCTACTCAGTCCTCGGGCCGAGCACCCATGCCACCTCCTCCAGGACGCCCACCTGGTCATGCCCCTCTCTGTTCCTTCTTGCTCCCAGCCCTGCCTGGCTCTGAAGCGTGCTTCTATTTCTCCATTTCAGTCCTTTGCGCTTGGATATCATCAGCTCACCCTCTGACAGCTCTTTTAGGGTCCCAGCAGCCAGCACAGTGCCTGGTACACAGCAAGTTGGCTGTGTGGCTGCGTGAAGTTGGGGAGTGGCCGGCATGGCACTCCAGCACCCAGCACGGCATCTAGGGCAGGGCCGTCAGGAAGCAAGGCTGGATGAACAGAGGGGTGGCTGGGCCCAGCGCGATGTCAGGACTCTGCAATGTGGGGAGCAATCAGGAGGAATCTGGCACAGGTAGCGTGTGGCTGCCCCAAGGATTCCTCACCAGATAATTATAACCCCGGGTTCCAAGAGCCACAGAGGAAGTGTGGATATGTTGCAATGACAGCATTGAAGGCGGAGTGATTCATTTTGCTGGGGGGCATCTGTTAATGGGACCAGGCTGCCCGAGACCCTGGGCAGCCCTGCTGCTGTGCCAGCCCGTTAGGCCCTGTGTGTGGCCTGCCCGCTCTACTCCCCTGGCCTTGACTGAAGCTGCGTCACTTTTCTTGTCCGAGGGCCTTTCCCTGCAGCACGCAAGCCTCTCTTCCTGACTCTGGGCCAGCTATGTTGATCTTCACTTTTAACAAACCGAGGTGCAGAATGGCCTGACAGCAGCTATCTATCCAACAGTCATGTCCCAGGCCGGAATCCTCCCAACCAGGGAGGGACCACTTCCTACCTGACATCAAGGACAGGGCCAGCGGGGGTGGTCTCCTGGGGTTGCCGACCCTGAGAAGGCCAAAGCCCCGGGGCTGCTCAGGCAGGAAAGTCACGCTTCGCAGCTCCACTGACTGTCCCCGCGGGGTGGCACAGCACTCATGCCCAGCAAGAGACACGGAGACGGGCCTCTGAGTGTCAGGACGCTCACGATGAATGAGGTGCAGCTGCAACTGGCTCTGGAGGTGAGCAGGGGGATTCTGGCTCTAGAGAAAGATCTAGGTGGGGAGAAAGGGAGCAAGAGGAGGAGTGAGGGAGAGCAGGCTCAGCCTCCCGTGCTGGCAGTTACCTGGCGGATGAGGACGGGGAGCAGGAACCACATTTTCTCCCGCTGTAGAAGCAAACCTTTGGATGAGCAATAACGGGTGTGCACAGTGTGACTGGTGCCTTGGCGAGCCTTGCTGGGGACCTGTCTCAGCAGCCTCTGCCCAGGGAACTGGGAGCTCAGTGAAAACAGCCAGCAGAGAAATGACCCCCAGGGCTGGTGAGCTGCCACAGGACCCCCAGGGGCCAGTGAGGCCGCACTCGGCCCACTGTTTCTTTAACAGGAAGGATGAGACAGAAAACAGCGTCTGGAGTGTGGGGGAGACACGAGGTAGCAGCGCAGGCCGGGGCAAGGTTTGGGGTCATCTGGGGATCTCAGATTGGATCCTGCTGGGGACAGTGCTGATTTCTTGGTGCACAGCCTCTGGGCTGCATTCTGTGTTCCAGGCTGTTTGGGACTAATTGTGCCCCCCCAGTTTATATGCGGAAGCCCCTAGTCCCCATTGTGACTATATTTGGAGATGAGGCCTTTAGAGAGGCAATTAAAATAAAATGAGGTCATAAGGCAGGGCCCTAACCCCGAAGGACTGGCGCTCTTATAAGAAGAGGGGAGGCCAGAGCTCTCTGTGTCTTTGCCAGGTAAGAAAACAGCAGCTGCCTACAAGCCAGGAAGAGAGGCCTCGCCGGAAATCAACTCTAATGACACCTTGGTCTTGGATGTCCAGCCTCCAGAACTTCGAGAAAATAACTTTCTGTTGTTGAAACCACCCGGTCTGTGGGATTTTGTTGTGGCAGCCCTAGCAGACTAAGGCACAGGCCCTAAGCTAGATACTTTCATCCTGGCTTCTCTACTCAGCTCTCGGGCGGCCCTGTGAGGGGGGCATCGTCCTCGCTGTCCTGGTCTCACCAAGAAGGTGCAAGACTTCAAGAAGCTGCAGGCGGTTCTGTGACTGGATCAAGTTTGCAGAGCTACGGCACAGTTGTCAAAACACCTTAGCGCTTTGGATCTTCTCTCTCTTAAAAGAAGAGACAGATAAAATGACCACTTTTGAAATTTGCAAGATGCAAATGCTATTAAAGAAATTTAACAAACAAAAAGAGTTCAGCCAATGAAGTGAGAACTTCTGCTGAAGAATGAACGTGGAGGAGGGAAGAGATGAGACAAACCCCCACGACCTTAGGTGTTTAGAGCAACTGCGCTTACAATTCTCATAAGGAGCAACAGTTCATTGTAAAGAGGAGTTTGAATTACAATAGATAAAATATAGAAGCACAGCTCCTCTTGACCTCTTTTCAATACACAGCAAAGACAAACCTCTTTACCTTCTCTCCAGAGAGGAATGCTGCACCCAGCTAAGAGACAAGGGCGATCCGTTTCTCGTGGCCTAATAGACAATGTAGGCTAAAAACTCTGGAAGATGCATTCTCTTTCTAAGCATGCCCCTCTGAGTGCAGTGGTCTGCCTGCTCACCAGGTACAAGATGAGATAAACATAACTGCCCCCCAGGGCTGCTGAGAGGGGAGTCTCCGTCTCTCACACTTGTGTAGAACCAGGCCCAGCACGTCTGTTTGTCCATCCTCCTCACACCGAATATTTTGGGGAGAAAATAATGGAATTATTTCCCACTTGAGAAAAGAAGAGTTGGCAAGCTGCTCTCACATACCATTGAAAGGGGAAAATATATGAGAACGTCTTCAGAAGGTAACTGGCAATGTACACTCCACAATCTCAAATGCACATACGCTTTGATCTAGCAACTCCACTCTGAGGAATTCATCCTCAGATATACTTCCACATATGCACAAAAGCATGATGTATGAGGAGAATCACTGCAGCGTCACGTTTAATAGAAAAAGACTGGAAACAATTCCAATGCCCAATAATGGGAAATGGGTGAAGTGAATTATGGCATACTCATGCAATGAAACTCTATGCAGCCTTTAAAAAGAATGGAGCAAAATGAAGCTATAACAGTAGTAAAAAAAAAGCTATAAATTTCTTTTATGTCTGATTTGAGAAAGGCCCTTTATGTATGACACAAACCTCAGAGGCCATAAAAGACTGATAAATGGGAATATATTGAAAATTTTTTTCATGATGCAAACACAAAACCCCCCAAAGTAGTTAAAAGTATAAAACTATGAGAAAATATTTCCAACCCACATGAAAACTTCCTTAAAACATTCCTAGCAATCGGTGAGGAAGATGTGAATAGCCAAAAGAAGAGTGAACCAAGGATAGGACTGGGCCATTTGCCGAAAAGGAAACGTAAGTTTCTCTGAGACATACCCAAGTCACCTTTAGTCATAGAGAATCGCAAATGACCTCTTCCCTGGGACGCAGCTTCTCCTCTCTTAGGATAAAGTAGTAACATGAAATAGTACCCACTTCCTGGGAAGCACATCCTCAGCTGCACAGAGGAGGCCAGGGTGTGGGTGACATCTCTCCGTGGATGGGAATCAGCGCTGTATCATCACAGACGCTTGGACCCAGCAGGTCTACATCTAGGAATTTATCCCTCCCATGCACTCACCCCAGTGTCATTTAACGCAGCCATTCAAAAAAAACTAGGACATTCCATGCGGGAGACAAAACATCTCAGATAGACCACGATGTAGAAACAAGAGACAAAACTGTGTATGTTGTGCTACCGTTGAGTTAAAAAAAAAAAAAAACCAAAAAAACCCCAACAAAAAACAGGGAGAAAAGACTGGATTTACATATGTGTTTGTTTGCATGAGCCTAAAACACCCTGCCCGGGAGGCAGGGGTGATTGGCACCCAGGCAAGGCAGTGTGGTTGCTGAAGGACAGGGGTGGTTGGGACTTTTCCCACTGGATACTGTTTTATACCATTTGAATCTTTTTTTTTTCAGTTTTATAATTCTTTTCCCCTATTTTTATTGAAGTATAATTGGCAAATAAAAATGGTATTGCTTGACTGATTGACTGGGATAGGGTCTTCCTATGTTGCCCAGGCTGGAGTGCAATCGTGATCATAGCTCACAGCAGCCTCCAACTCCTGGGCTCAAGTGATCTTTCTGCCTCAGCCTCGAAAATAGCTGCGACTACAGGCACATGCCACCATGCCCTGCTAATTTTTTTTACTTTCTGTAGAGACAGGGTTTTCTCATGTGATATGGTTTGGATCTGTGTCCCCACTCAAGTCTCCTGTTCAACTGTAATCCTCAGTGTTGGAGGTGGGGCTTGGTGGGAGGTGACTGGATCATGGGGGTGGTTTTAATGGTTTAACACCATCCTCTGGGTGCTGTTCTCATGACAGTGACTGAGTTCTCGTGCGATCTGGCTGTTTAAAAATGTGTAGCACTTCACCCTTCGCTGTCTCTCTCTCCTGCTCTGCCATGTGAAGATGTGCCTGCTTCCCCTTCACCATCCACCATGATTGTAAGTTTCCTGAGGCCTCCCCAGAAGCAGAAGCCACTATGCTTCCCGTACAGACTGTGAAAACGCGAGCCAATTAAACCCTCTTTTCTTTAGGTTGGGTGTGGTGGCTCATGCCTGTAATCCTAGCACTTTGGGAGGCCGAGGCAGATGGATTGCCTGAGCTCAGGAGTTCGAAACCAGCCTGGGCAATACGGTGAAACCCCGTCTCTAGTAAAAATACAAAAAATTAGTTGGGCATGGTGGTGTGAGCCTGTGGTCCCAGCTACTCGGGAGGCTGAAGCAGGAGAATCGCTTGAAACCGGGAGGCGGAGGTTGCAGTGAGTGGAGATCATAGCACCGTACTCCAGCCTGGGAGACAGGTGAGACTTTGTCTCAAAAAAAAAAAAAAATGGATTTTTAAAATGCAGAATAGTAACTGTTTACATAGCATTTACATCATATTAGGCATTATAAGTAATCTAGAGATGACTTAAAGCATATGGAGGATGTGTATTGGTTATATGCAAATACTACACATTTTACCAGGAATTCAAGGCTGCAGTGAGCTAGGATCACACCACTGCTCTCCAGTCTGGGCCACAAAGAACCTCAAATAAAATAAGATAAATAAAATAAATAAACAAGCATTTTATATCAAGGACTTGAGCAGTCCAGATTTGGGTATCTGCAGGGGGGTCCTGGAGCCAATCCCCCATGGATATTAAGGCACAACGCTATACAGATATGGAAACATTAAGTCATACATCTAAAATAGATGCAGTTTTCCAGCCTGGGTTACATAGTATATTAGTCTGTTCTCGCATTGCTATAAAGAACTACCGAAGGCTGAGTAATTTATAAAGAAAAGAGGTTTGTTTTTATTTTTTTGGAGACAGAGTCTTGCTCTGTTGCCCAGGCTGGAGTGCAGTGGTGCGATCTCGGCTCACTGCAACCGCCGCCTCCTGGGTTCAAACAATTCTCCTGCCTCAGCCTCCCGAGTAGCTGGGACCACAGGCTCACGCCGCCAAGGATGTTAGCCAGAATGGTCTCCATCTCCTGACCTCATGATCCGCCCGCCTCGGCCTCCCAAAGTGCTGGGAATACAGGCTTGTTTGTATTTTTTTCTGAATTTTTTTTGATCTGTGTTTAGCTGAATCCACAGATGCAGAGCTGCAGGTTCAGAGGGCTGACTGCGTATTGCGAAATGATTGACAGCACTGAGCTAGTGAACATGTTCACCAACTTGTGCAGTGATTATACCACTTGAATGTTGAGTGAGCAAATATCTTACCTATTAAAATTAATACAGTAAAATAAAAAGACTGAGGCAGATTTCTATTTCCTGATATGGGATGATTTCCAAGATTTCTTGAAGTATAAAACGCAAGGTGCTGAGCACGCTGCAGCATGGATGAAGCTTGAAATGGTGCTCAGTGACAGACGCAGGCACAGAAGACCCCAGGCTTAGGGCCCCACTCTAAGAAATGTCCAGAATAGGCAAAGCCACAGAGACGGGAAGCAGAGGAGTGGCCGCCTGGGGTTGCGGAGGGGAGGAGGACAGCCAATGGGTACAGGACTTCTTTTAGGGTGACGATCATGGTCTAAAGTTGATTGTGATGCTGGCTGCACAATTCTGAACACACTGAAAACCACGAGTGGTGCACTTTAAACAGCTGGAGTCTGCGGTCTGTGAACTGTATATCAATAAAGCTGTTATGAAAAAAGGCAAGGCGCAGCACAGGGGGTAAAGCATTCCACAGCTTGTTTAAAAGAGGGGGCATTTGTTTGAGGTATGTCTGGGGAGAACCAGAAGACACCAGGATCGACTGCCTCAGGAGAGGGGCCTGAGCCCTGGAGGCAGGGGTGGGAGGAGGCATTCTGCCTCAGGAATGCATTCCTTCTTCCCAGAAAGAGAAAGGCAGGGTGCAAAGGGTTAAGGGAGAGAAGGCGAGACACAGGAAAAAAAAGGCAAAGGAAAGCAAAAGTCAGCGCCTCCCCAGTCCCCACATTAAAGTAGCCATTGCCGCCGGAGCAGAGCCGGCTTGGCTGCCTGAGGAGGAGGCACGCGCCAAACCCAGCAGAGTGATGCCTGGGCAGGAGTTACGCACCCTCCCCCGGCCGCCTGGCACCGAGATTGGCTATGCAGCAGGAGGAGATGCCAGGGCTCCGAGCCTCAGGAACCCTGGTGCTGGTCCCCACTGCAACCCCCTGGGGTCTGCGCACTGAGCCTCTCCAACCCAGCACACCCGTGCCCACCTCTCCAGATAATTAGAGATGCTGCATAAAAAAAAGTCTAACACAAAGCCTGACGCTCGTGGATGCTCAACAAAAGTTAGGCTGGCCTTTTCCAAACAGTGCTTCGAGTCAAATGCAAGTATTGTCTAAAGTCTGCAGAAGAAAGGAAAATGAACGGAGCTAAAGATGTACTTCCCTTTACTCGATGCTGTTCTCCTGTTCCCTTCTGTTCTTTCAGTATCTAATTGCATTAAGCACGGGTTCCCTCCCTGGTGACCTGGGGCTTCCCAGCAGGAAGTGACCTTGAGGGCGCCTGCCCAGTGACCTGCTTTCTGAAGTGCCGGGTAGTGCATCCCCTCAGATGGTGACCTCCTTCCCTTCTCACAGGCTTCTGGTCTGTCCACGCCCTCAGGAGAATGCCTTTTCTGTGAGCCGGCGGAAGTGCCTCTGCCCCCTGGGGTCGGGGGGTCAGCTTGGCTGCAGGGCTGGGGCCGCACAGCCTCGACTCAGAGAACTCACAATGAAATCAGGCCGGGCATGCAGGCTCTTGCTGGGAACAGCACACTGGGGAACTGTGCGCCTTTGAGGTTTTAACCGTCCGCTGGGGAAACAAGTGAGTTCTTTGAAGGAAAACATATTTTGGAATCTGCTCTGAATGATACCAAGAGGCAGGCGGCCTCCAGGGGCCAGCCTTTGACTCTAGGCTGATGGGTATCACCCTTGCTTTCACATGTTTGTCCCAAATATAAAGGAATTTACCCATCAGCTGAAATTTTCAGTTGTTATTTTGCTTAATGTCAGGTCAGATTTAAAATGTGTGTATGTGTGTGTGTGTGTGTGTATGTACGTGTATGTGTGTGTGTACGTGTATGTATGTGTGTATGTGTATGTGTGTGTGTATGTGTGTGTGTATGTGTGTATGTGTGTTTATGTGTATGTGTGTGTATGTCTAATGTGTATGTGTATGTATATGTGTGTGCATGTGTACGTGTGTGTGTATGTGTGTCTAATGTGTGTGTATGTGTATGTGTGTATGTGTATGTATGTGTGTGTATGTATATGTGTGTATGTGTATGTGTATATATGTGTGTATGCGTGTGTGTATATGTATGTGTGTGTATGTGTGTGTATGCGTATGTGTATGTGTATGTATGTCTAATGTATGTGTATTGTGTGTATGTGTATGTACGTGTGTAGGTCTAATGTGTGTGTATGTGTATGTGTACGTGTGTACGTCTAATGTGTGTGTATGTGTATGTGTGTATGTCTAATGTGTATGTGTATGTATGTGTATGTGTGTGCATGTGTACGTGTGTATGTGTGTCTAATGTGTGTATGTGTGTATGTGTATGTGTGTGTATGTATATGTGTGTATATGTGTGTATGCGTGTGCGTATATGTATGTATGTATGTGTGTGTATGTGTATGTGTATGTATGTCTAATGTGTGTATTGTGTGTATGTGTATGTGTACGTGTGTATGTCTAATGTGTGTATGTGTATGTGTATGTGTGTATGTGTATGTGTGTGTATGTGTATGTGTGTATGTGTGTATATGTATGCGTATGTGTATGTGCGTATGCGTATATATGTGTGTGTATGCGTGTATATGTGTGTATGTGTGTATGTATGTCTAGTGTGTGTATGTGTGTGTATGTGTACGTGTGTATGTCTAATGTGTATGTGTATGTGTGTGTATGTGTATGTGTGTATGCGTGTATGTATGTGTGTATGTGTCTAGTGTGTGTGTGTATGTGTACGTGTGTATGTGTCTAATGTGTATGTGTATGTGTGTGTATGTATGTGTATGTGTGTATGTGTGTATGTGTATGTGTGTATGTGTATCTGTGTGTGTATCTGTGTGTGTGTATGTGTGTGTATGTGTATGTGTGTAAACATGATATACCCATGTGTGATTTGTATATAAGCCCCCACTCATATAAAATCTGCACCTATATATTAAATGCCTGTTTATAAAGGTTCCTGTGAAAACAATTTAAAAATAAAGGGAGAAAATGATCCAGATTCCATCACCTTTACATGACTGTAGTTAATATTTGGTGTAAATTTTTGTTCAGAACCAGATGTCAAATCCAACTGTCTAATAAAAGGCTTCTGATTTGCTTTGGAAGAGGAAAGGGTGATCTATAAAGACAGAAAGCACAGAGTCGCAGGATGGCAGCTCTCCAGGCTGAAAGGGGCTTGGGGGTCTGGCTCAGTTTTGATTCTGGCACTGCAGTAAATATTCATGCAACCCTGGGCAAGTCATTTAACCTCTCTCAGCCTCGGTTTCCACCAACACCCCACTTCTGGGTTGCTGCCAAGACGAAATAAGATAGTGAAGGGGGCTGGGTGCAGTGGCTCACGCCTGTAATCCCAGCACTTTGGGAGGCCGAGGCAGGTGGATCACTTGAGATCAGGAGTTTGAGACCAGCCTGGCCAACAATGGTGACATCCCGTTTCTACTAAAAACACACAAAAAATTAGCTGGATGTGGTGGTGGGTGCCTGCAATCCCAGCTACTTGGGAAGCTGAGGCAGGAGAATTGCTTGAACCCGGGAGGTGGAGTTTGCAGTGAGCTGAGATCACACCACTGCACTCTAGCCTGGGTGACAGAGCGAAACTCTTGTCTCAAAAAAAAGATCATGAAGGGACTGTCATGGCCCCTGTCAGAGTGCAGGTTGCTCATAAGTGTTCATTTTCCTTGTCTGGTTAAATAAAAAGATTCCCGAGAGAGGTGTGGAGTGAAAACCCAGTCTACATTTCTCTCCTGCTGCACGCTGGCTCTGTATGTCCAGCAAATGTTCACTTAGTAAAGTCGCAGAGCTCAGATCTTGTGTGCAAAGCCCAAGCTGGGAGGGGGCCCAGGCCACTTCTTTGAAGGGAAAGGAGGACAGACAGAAACTCAGAAATAGCCTATTTCTAGGGAGAAGATGGAGCAGGACTGGGATGGCTCCCAGAAACTAAGCATCTTCCTCAAGGGTGAAGGGAGAGGGAGCAGAGGAGCCCAGTGGAGAACGAGGAGGGCTGCAGAGGAGGTCCGTGGAGCAGGGGTGGGGTTAAGGGTGAGCTTACGGGAGCGGAAAAGCTTTTCCTGAGGCCAGAGCCTCGGGTGAGACAAGCAGCCGCTCGCATCATAGGTCTTTGGGGGCAACTCCCACCCCACAATTCTCTTCCGTGGTCCCATAAGCTTCTCAAATGTCCTGGGATGCCAGCCTGCTGACATGCGAACCACATCTCCAGGGATAGCCTCTCCTGCCCAGAAGTGGCCCCAAATTCTTCGCCAGACCAAGCACAGAGATTTCTCGGTTGGCCCCAAATTCTTTATCAGACCAAGTGTAGGGATTTCTCAGTTGCGAAAACCTAGTCACTGAATTTCACAGAAAGTAGAATAAGAATAGAAACTGCGAAGCTTTTTTTCAAGGAAAGTACGTTTCTTTATTAGATTGCAAAATCTTTTCCCAGCGGGGACAGGTCAATTTAAAGTGGCGGCAGCCCTGCAAGGATGACGCACACATCCAGGGAGAAGCTGCCATGGGAACCGCATGCTCCTGGGGAGCCAGGCTGGGCCTCATGTGGGGGGGGATGGAGGGCTGCAGTCGTGCCTAGGGGCCTGCCCGGCAAAGAGCAGGAGAACTGACCGCACACAGATCTGTGTTCAAATCCCTCACTAGACTGCCAGATGCAGAACTGTTGGCAAACACCTCTCTGAGCCTCGGTGTCCCCACCTTAAAAGTGAGAATTACACCTCCCTATTTGGGTCATGAAACATAATATGTTTCGAATGAGAAACATACTAGAAACTTGCATGGCACACCTGGTCATGGAGTGTTCAGGAGGTGTTGTCCTCATCCCACACGGAGCAGGTGCACCGGCTGCTGCTATACTTCTGCTGTGACATCCTTCAGGGAACCGGGGGACCCAAAGAGCTCCACGTCCCTGGGCGGGCCAACAGAGCCAATGTGATGGGAGAGAAATGCTACGCACCTGGGGCTTAACCTCGAGCAGCTGTGTGGGCTTTATCAGGCCAACACGACGCTGAAGAACAACAGAAGACGTTTTTGACATTCGGCTTTGGACTTGGCAAACAGGGCTGGACTGAACACGTCTCAGGGACACACTCTGGCCACATCCTTGCTACATCCAAGCAAAGGCTGCCTGGAGCTGCTGTCAGGGTCTTTGCTGGGTCTCTAGCTATTCTTGTGCCACTCACACCATGTTTTTAAAAAACATTTTTTCTTTAAACTTTCTTACTTAAATAAAATATATTTTAAAATGAAACCTAAATTACTACCACAAAAGGAAAACCACTCTTCCCTGCCATAAGGTCTATTCTGTTTGTCAAAAAGGAAATTGACAAGTATTAAAGGAGTGTTAAAGAGGCACTAGGGACAAACTGAGACGATCTCTTGAGTCAGCTGGAAGGATTGGGAGAGATCTGAAGGCTTTTCTCCTGTGGAGTCACTTGTCTTTGAGTGAATATTGGGTTAAGGCTTTCGAGCCCTTGCTCTGAGGAATGATCTTGGTGTGAATGTGGGCACATGTGGCCTGAGGAGGGTAGAAGCTGATGCTCTTAGAGTCTCGCTCTCCTCATGTCTCCTCACCATTCCTC
Source organism: Homo sapiens (assembly GCF_000001405.40). Lineage (NCBI taxonomy): Eukaryota > Metazoa > Chordata > Mammalia > Primates > Hominidae > Homo > Homo sapiens. The sequence goes on from NC_000005.10 coordinate 178,361,508, forward strand.
TGCGGGCTCCACCTCCCTCCTACAGGGCCCTTCTCCCCACCTCCACCTTCAACCCAACCCCTGGCCCCCTGGCCTTGTCTCCATCATACACCCCCCTACAGGACTCATGTTTTCCTACTGCCTCCACCAGAACCTCTGCACAGCACATTCCCACCATCACTACCACCCCAACCCTGACGGCTCCCAATTCTTCTCCTGGGATCACCGACTCCATGCTGGACCTGTGACCCCTTGGGAACCGCAGTCACCTCCAAGACAGGTGCTTTCCCTATGTGTGCTTGAGCCATGCACCGGCTCTCACTGTCTCCTGCTGCAGATGAGCTAAGTAAGGTCCAGCAAGACCAGTCAGCAGGCGGGCAGGCTCCACATCCTGACATTCCCGCCTCCCCTCCAGGGATTTTCCACCATCTCACTCTGGAACTCTGTCTCCAAACCACAAGCTGACATCACACAGGGAGTCACTGGACGCCCCCTAGGAAATGCTGAGTGGGAGATAAAGGAGTAGTGATGCTTATGCAAAGCTTCCCTCCTCCCCTCCTGCAGATACGGGGTCATTGTTACAAGCAACAAGGAGGCTTCCTAGGTCCAACTTTTAGCGGACGTCGCTGCAGGTGTGGCAGGGCATTGAGGTGGGAACACATTCAGCTGGTGAGAGGTGGTGTGCAGAGCGGCTCCTCCTGTCCCTGCCTGTGAACTGTTAGACAGACACACCATTCCCATTTCCACCCAGAGCCCAAGTGAATGGAGGGAGGCTGAGTTTGGAGCCAGGCGGCTGTGGGTCCGAATAGCGGCTCAACCACAGGCCCCGGGGTTGGTGGGGGCATGTCCCACTGAACCATGGACAGCTCTGTGTCTCAGTGGGCCCACAGCACGACACCAGCCTCTGGGCTGATACCGAATCCAGGCTAAGCTCACTTCACCGAGGGGTGCCTGTGGCCTGCCAAGCAGCCACTCTCTCTTTTTTTTGCCACCAGCACCTCACTTTTCCTTTGAAGAGCCACCCTCCCCACTCTCAGTCCACCTGGATTTGTTAAGTCTTAGCCTCTCCCACCCACCCTTGCCACCGGCAGGTGACTCTGGCCTGGCTCACGGGCACACCCTCATTTTTCTGGCTGCAATGACTGGCTCAGAGTGTAAAATGTCACCCAGGAGTCTCCGCCATGGGACTTCTGTTGGAACTATTAGACAAGAGGCTTTCTTCCTGCAGCTGCAAGAAAGGAGTAAGGCTAGAACTTTGAAGACTCCACTTCCTGAAGGTGAAGCCGGCACAGAGGAAAGCATCCCAAGCACTGGGAGAGGCTGCCCGATGGCACAGCCCAGCCCATGGCACAGCCCAGCAGCCCGACCCACCCTACAGAAGCCAAATCTATGACACATCCACCCCCACAGCAACCCACCCCCACAGCAACCCACCCCCACAGCAACCCACCCCCACAGCAATCCACTCCCACAGCAACCCACCCCCACAGCAACCCACCCCCACAGCAACCCACCCCCACAGCAACCCACCCCCACAGCAATCCACTCCCACAGCAACCCACTCCCACAGCAACCCCACATATTTTGTTTTGTTTTGTTTTTTGGCTTTAAGTCAATTCAAGTTGGCTGTTTTTATGACAAGCAACAGTGTCCTAACAGGTGTGAGCAGTATTTTTAGGGAGTCAGACAACATAACTGCGGGGCACTAAGCATCAGCCCATGCCCTAGAGTTACAGTGTATCAAGGTTTTATCACATGTTAATTCTGGCCTCTCCTATAGGACCTATCATCCTCTTGTTATCTGCTAATTTGATCACTGTATACATTTTGCATCTCCAAGTTGTTGAAAACACTGACAGGATAGCCTAAGTGTAGAACCTACAGTCCAGAAGAAGAAATACCTCCTGGCTGACACAGTGCACTCACTCATTCACTGATTCACTCACTCCTTCATTCATTCAGTATCTATTGAGTCCTACTACGGGTCAGTCATAGTTCTAATTAGACTTGTGTGACTATTAACCAACCAGCTACACTCCCAGCCAGACTCTGGTCCCAAATGTCTCCTTTTCAGACAAAAACACATTAGGACGTTTTGGTCAGCACCCATATGAAGTCCAAATACACTGGAATTAAACACTCCCTCGACCCACAGTCCCACAGGAGCGCCCCGTCACTCGGCCACAGAGCCGATGGCTGCTTCACCTCCCCACCGGCTGTGGGTGTCGGCTGCAGGTCTGACACTGGCTCACTGCGCTAGAGTTTCCCGAATCCATCCCTCTGGAAACTGGCATGGTTCTGATGGCCTATCCATCACCCTCTGTTCTTCCTCAAAGACACAGCCTATTTCTATGATCACATTAGCAAGTCCTTTCCACACTCTGGCACAACCCATCTGGGTGTGGACACGTAGGTTCACGTAATGGGATTTGTCACACGTGGTCAGCACCTGCTATGTGGGAGAACCTCCTAGAACCTCCCCACACACCCTTCGCTTTGCGGCCCTCCTGACTGTTCCCCATCAGACCCCTCCACCTGAGGTAAAAGTGGCAATCCAGGACTCAAGGCACCAGTGGTCTGGCTACCACCTCGGTCCCGCCCCGGGTCACATGGGGAGCTCTTCTTTGATCTTGTGCCACATGGACATTTAAAGCCGCGTGTGCTTTTCTGCACATTTCCGCCTGTTGGTTTCTGGGCCCCTCCCTGGCTTTGTTTCCCTCCCTCCCGCCTAAGCCCACGTCCCTTGTAAGTCTGAGAAGAAAGCTCCACACATGGCCAGAACTGCCTGGCCCCCGCCCCTTACAGGAAGTCCGTCTTCTTCCTTCTTCCTCCTGATATCTGCTTGCCTCATTTCTAGGTTTTGAATCTCTTGGTTTGGGATTGGCAGCTCCAGGCCCCCAGGAGGGTGAGCTGAGGGTGAAGCAGGCCCACAGGAGGGTGAGCTGAGGGTGGAGCAGGCCCACAGGTGGGGCCCGCCTGTGCAGAGAGTACTCAGCCTTGGTCCCCTGAGATGCAGGAGCTTGTTCATCTGGTGGAGTTGAGGCCATGATCATCCCTCACGGGCCGTCTTCCTAAGGCTATCTGATCCTGCCTCTCCCATCTCCAACATCAGCAGACACCGAATTATAGTTCTAGAAGGGTGGTCGGGGAGGCGCCTGGGAACTCACCCGGCCCAGCAGTTGCACCTTTGATTAGCAGAATCACCCGGACAGCTTTTCCTGTCCCCACTCCAGAGGCTCTGAGTCACGAGGTCTTGGGTGGGCCTAAGGCACCTGGATCTACAAAAAGTGCCCCCATCCCCCATGACTCTGCTGATGAACTGCACAGGGGCTCCCCCTCACCTATGGGGAAGCCGGCACCTTGCAGGTTTCAGGGCACACTGCAGGGAGCCTGCCCAGGCCCCAGCCTCCAGCAGGCACAGCCAGCATTTCCAGTGCCTGGGGCTGAACTGGCTTGGAAGCCTGGGCTCCGAGCTGCTCACTCACAACCCTCGCCAATACAGCCTGAATTTATTAAGCAATGGGCTCTTCCTGTCAGGCGAATAAACAGATGCACAAGCAGATACAGCAGTAAAGAATAAACCGTAGGGGCAATAACAATCTCTTTGTAATTTCTCTTTGGGGTGGGCTTTATGATGTTGCTGTGTGTGCGTGTGTGTGTGTGTGTGTGTGTGTGTGTGTGTGTGATAAATAAGCAAAATTGTTTTCCTGGGACTCCATCCAGGAACATTAGATATGGGGTCCAGCCCCAGCGCACAGGAAACCCTGCTCAGGCAGATGGTGTGGGAGAGCGAGGTTGTGCTTTGATGCATGGGGTAGAGGAACCCTAGGAGGCACTGAGACCTCGGTGGCTGTCCCAGGCTCTGTCCTCCCTGCATATGGCCTCAGGCAGCTCAAGGCTTAGCTTCCCACTGGCCTCCTCCCTCCCGGACACTCACGCATTTCAGGTCTGACGGGTACCCGCCACCCAATCCCTCTTTCTTTTGACGGGTACCCGCCACCCAATCCCTCTTTCTTCTGATGTCGACAGGATCAAGCACAAGCCTCCTTGGCAGGGATGAGGGGTCCTCAGGTCTGGCTGGGCCCACCTGGCTGCTTCCTGGTCTCTACCACATGCCCCAGCCTCACCCCACGGCCCGCCCAGCACCCGCCAGGCATGCAGTGGCCCCTCTCTTCTCCTCGACAACTGCGTGCTGTTCCCGGCAGACCCTTGCGTTTCCTGTTCTCTGCCTGGAAAGCCATGTCTTGTTCTCCACGCCCAGTTCTGATGTCACCTTTCTCACACCCAGGAGTCCTCTGTGACCTGGGAGGGGGCCCACTCCCCCTACCCTCAGCGCTGGGCACTGGCTTGTGATGGTCTCCTGGCCACATGGGGAGCTCCTCGAGGGCAAGGCCTGGGAACATCTGGAGTCAGTGAACACAGCAGGAAGGGGGGATGGTCAAGCGCACCACAGGCTTGGAAGCAGACACGCCCAGTTCAAGCCCCACTCCAGCCCTCCTCAAGTGGGTCACTCCTCACGGCCTGTGAGTTCACCTCTTCATCTGAGCTCGCTTCAGATGACGCCCCCAGTGCCAGGTGATCATCTGCCGCTGTGTCCTCAGCATCTGGCCCAGCCCCATGGGGACCATCTGTTAAAGCTCCATCTACCCTACGAGGAGGCGAGTCCCCAAGGGCAGGGCTGGGTCTGATTCACCTCTTCCTCCCCGGAGCCCAGGGTTCACTCTGCAACTCTGCTGGCTGAAGGGCCTGCTCCCAGCCCAGCTTGGCTGTCCAGTGGGGAGGGGCACCGCTGCCTTGCCCGAGGTTCCCTCTGCACCCCACGATGGGCGCTGCGTCCTCCATCCTCTGGTGCACCAGGTTAGCTTGACTCCAGGTGCCCTGCTGGTGTGGCTCCACCTGGTCGCTGGGGTCTGTCTTCCCAGCTCCCATCCGCCCTTCCCTGCATCCTCCTGGGCTGGTTCCAGTTTGGGGCCATCATCTCTTGTGCATCTTTGCTCACGGCGTCTTCTGCACCTGCACTCCCATCTGACCTTTCCAGACCAACTTCCACCCTGCCCCAACAGAGTGCTTTCAGATCACCCGCCCTGCGAAAATGTGTCGGTGATCACTGTGACTAGAACAAGTCCTCGTGTCTCTCTATGTGAGCCCCCAACCCACTCTCCAGCTACCCCTAGAACCAAAACAGCATCCTGCCGCTGCCACGGTGGTGCAGCCACACTGAGCATCCCAAACCTCGCCGGAAGCACGTTCCTCCTCCGTGCCTGTGCTTCTGCTGGTCTAAATCATTATCTATTGCTGAGGCTCACAGCAGATGTCGCCTCTTCCATAAAAGCTTTTCTGACTCCTTCACCCAGGAAGCAGGGTCCTGCCCTCCTCTGCAGCCCCACGTGGCCCACTTGGCATGAGTGGCTGGCTTGCTCGCCTTCCTGGCCACACCAGATGGGCTGTGCTTTCTTCACCTCTGCATTCCAGGTGTCTCCTACGGACCTGGAATGGGGTGGTCATTTGGTGCGTGTTTGTTGAAACTGAATTTTACATGGCAGGGATTTCAGACTCTTCTCTGGTTGGGTTTTGGGCTGACTGCTGAACAGTCCATTTGCTATCAGACAAAATTCAGTTGCGGTCACGTCAGACATTTCCTTTAGCCAAATCGTTATCTGAGGGTATCACTGGAATACACATCAGCACTAGCTTGATCTGCTTGGAAACCACCAATGGCATCCGCTCCGAGTCTTCCGATGATGTCCAGATGGGAGCTGCTGCGCTTAGTGCATTTTCTATCATTAAGCTGACGGGAGCTCCACGTCTGAGAGGGGCGTTTGGCCTTGGGTGGGTCACGCCTCTCTGTGTGCCCGTTTCTCCTCTGGAGCGGCAAGAAGCAGCAGCCAGAGTATCAGCAAGGTCCCATGGAAGGTGGAGTGATCTCCATTTTGCTAATGCAAAGCACCCTTGGCAGTCAGTGTCCTGCACATTTATACAGAGCTCCAAGCCCACTGTGGTAGACTGGGGCTTCCCTTGGTGGCTGCAACATCTGGCCTCACCACCGTGTTGAATGGAGGAGACCCTAGGTGAACACTAGGTCCCACTGTACGAGCCGGGAGCCCTGACATGTTAGGGAGGCTGGGGGCGGGGTCAAACCAAGGACGAGCAGGCTGCAGAGGGCCCATGGGATTCTGCTGCTGAACAGATGCAGGCTGCCATCGTACAATGTGGCTCTCTTTTCTTTCTAGCATATCATCCAAACGCCTACTTCCCACTTCTGGGAACTTCTCGCTCCCAGATTCAGAAACTGTCCTGGGGCACCAGCAGGTGGGTGCGCAGGTACACGTGAGTCCAGGCTTCCCAGAGGTACGGGCTGCCACCCTTCAGGCCGTGGCCTGGGTCAGGCGCTGTGGAGAGTGGAGCAGGATGAGACCAGCTGCTGTCCTGGAGGGGCTCAGGGCTGGGCCAGGTGGCAGGACCTGGGAGGCACCCAGGAGAGCTGCTCTAAGGGAGACGTTGTGTGCACTGCGGAAATGCACGGGGCCAGTGGCGCATGGAGGGGCAGGGAAGGACTGATCAGAAAGGCTGTGTGTGAGCAGAGCCTTGAAGGGAGGGAGGATTTTGATGCGTCGAAAGGGCAGGCAAGAAACAGCTCTGGGAAGAGCTCAGTCTGTCTGGATCAACTTGTTTTGTCTAGAACTTTCCATGTGTGAAAGGCAACATGGGAAATAAATTCCTCATGGCTAGGACATGGGTTAAGGGGGAGGAATACCATGGGCTGGGCAGGGAGGAGCTACCATAGTGTTTCTAAAGAAGACTTTATGGTTTCAAAGCAGTCTTAGGCTCACAGCAAAATAGAGTGGAAAGTGCAGAGAGTTCCCATATCCCCTCAGCCCACAAACGCACAGCCTCCCCCATGATCAGCATCCCCACCAGAGGGTACGTCTGTCGGCTGATGAACCCACACTGACGAGTCATCACCCACATTCCATAGTGTACGTTAGGGTTCACTCTTGGTAGCATACATCCTGTGGGTTTGGACGACTGTGTAATGACACGTAGCCACCGCTATAGTATCACACGGAGTAGTTCCACTGCCCTAAAAGTAGTCTAAGCTCCATCCATATACCTCTCCCTCCCCACACCATAGTGACTTGAGCAGGGGAAGAGTGGGGCCAAGCCTGGCCTCCAGAAGCCATCGGCCTCCAGAAGCCGTCAGCCTCCAGAAGCCGTCAGCCTCCAGTCCAGAGTGGCACAGCCAGCAAGCTTCACAGCGACTTCCTTCCAGGAGGACCAGGTGCAGCTAGCACTGCTGCAAGCCAAGTAGGACACCAACCCCTTTTTATTGTTCCTGGGCTATAAGGTCACGGACTTGCTTTCCCCCTCCTGACTGATTCCTGCTGGCTCCAGGGCAGATATGCCCACGTCCCTGCACCCCGAGGGCTGCTCCTCATGGCAGCAAAGCCCAGCCAGGGCAGCCTGAGATGGGGTTGGGGGAGACAAGGAAATGAATGACTGCTCAGTGTGTGTGCCCCTTCAAGGTTTAGCAAGCTCCCCGCACACCCACCTTCTTGACCCAGCCAGAGGTGAGGACCTTAGGCTGCATCCGTCGGCCCCTTCTGCCCTGGGGTGGGAGGCCGAAGCTATTCAGTGCGGGTCAGGAGGGACAGCATCAGTCATGTGAGCACAGCTAGGCAGGCCTCAGGGAGGCTGGCTTGGTAGGTGTGTATCTTGTCCTGTCCAGGGGAGACGAACAGGTCTGGGGCCCTAAACACCTTGACCCCTGGAGAGATGAAGTGTTCCCCCCCACACCACCCTCCTGTCCTTGTTCAGACTCCTCTGGCTCCAATTCCAGCTCCCAGGAAACTTCACACCTCGAGAGGATGTGACCTGGGTTAAGGTGATGGCCTTCTGGAAACTGGAAGAGAACACCCCTCCATGGCAGGTAACAAGAGACGCTTCATCTTCAAGTCTTTTCTTCTGTCCAGAAAGCACTCAGAGAAATTACAATAATAAAGTTAGTCCATTATATGGTTTGGCTGTATCCCCACCCAAATCTCATCTTGAATTGAACGTGTTGTGGAAGGGACCCAGTGGGAGGTAATTGAATCATGGGGGCAGGTCATTCTCGTGCTGTTCTTGTGACAGTGAATAAGTCTCCTGAGATCTGATGGTTTTATAAGGGGAGTTTCCCTGCACACGCTCCTCTCTCTTTGCTTGCTGCCATCCATGTAAGATGTGACTTGCTCCTCCTTGCCTTCTGCCATGATTGTAAGGCCCCCCCAGCCAGGTGGAACTGTAAGTCCATTAAATCTCTTTCTTTTGTAAACTGCCCAGTCTCAGGTATGTCTTTATCATCAGCATGAGAACAGACTAACACAGTTCAGCAGGGTAGAATGAAAAGGAGGCACAAAACAAGGGTTGAAACAAATGACCATGCCACGGGCCAGGATTTAAGAGGCAAGACCTTAGGTTCCAGGCCCTTCTAGATGTGGCCCGAAGTACTGAGTCACGTTAATGTGGAACCCAGCTGGAGGAACCACTGAGGGCACATGCAGAATAGCACCCAACCAGCACCTAGGAAAAGGGCAGCCAGTTCCAGAACTAAGGCCAGCACCAAATTCATGCCACGTGTCTGCACGGCAGGTTCCCATAATCAATGTCACTTATGCATGACCCTCTTGAGATGTGCAGTCTGGATGGAATCAAAGGACTCACAAAAGGTTTTGAAAAGAGCATGCTGGGGAGAGTGCAAAGCCAGGCCGCTGGCCTGCAGGTCCTGGGCGTGCTTCTTCACCCTTGTGTTTAAAATGTCAAAGGAATAAAGAGATGTGGTGTATACACAATGGAATACTATCCAGCCTTACAAAAGGAGGAAATCCTGTCATTTGAGACAATATGTGTGAACCTGGAAGACATGACGCTAAGTGAAATAAGCCAGGCACAGAAAGACAAACACCACATGATCTCACTGATATGTGGAATCTAAAAAAAAAATAGAGCTCATGGAAGCAGAGAGGCTTCAGAAACTTGGCGGCAGGGGATTGGGGGACATTGGCCAACGGATATAGAGTTTCATTAGACAGGGGGAAGAAATTCAAGAGAGCTACTGTCCACAGGGCAAGGTGGCTCACCTTTGTAATCCCAGCACTTTGGGAGGTCCAGGCAGGAAGATGGGTTGCACCCAGGAGATCAGCCTGGGTAACACGGTGAGACCCTATCTCTCTTGAAAAATAAAATGTTGAATAATAAAATTATTCAATCTAGTCCATCCTAAATTTGCTTAAAAGGAAAAAAATATTAAAATAAATAAACAAATAAATATTAGCCCAGCGTGGTGGTGTGCACCTGCAGTCCCAGCTACTCAAGAGGCTGAGGCAGGAGGATCCCTTGAGCCCAGGAGGTCAAGGTTGCAGTGAGCCGTGATCACATAACTGCACTCCAGCCTGTGTGACAGAGTGTGACCCTGTCTCACAAAGAAAAGATCTATTGTATAACATGATGACTGTGGTTAATAACAAGGTTTTGTATTCTTGAAAATTGCTAAGAATAGATCTTAAGTGTTCTCATTACAAAAAAATGCTAAGTCCATGAGCTAATGGATGTTCATGAGGTTGACGTCTCTCTCTGCCATGTAGACATGTATCAGAAACATCATGCCGCACACCATATAGACAATGTTTGTCAATTAAAAATAAATACATAATAAATACATATAAAATGCCAAAGGAAAAATGTTCTGTGCAGAATTGATGAGGAGTTAGACCCTGAAACGCACATCCAAATATCTCCACTTCCCTATCCTACATGGGTTCGACCAGTGTCACCAGGCAGCACCCCAGGCCTAGAGGGTGAGAGGCTGTGTGCACTCAGACTATGGCCCCAGTTGACTCTCAAATCCTCACATGCAGGCATGCCCCAGCAGGGAGGACGACTGGAGGAGGGGCCGGCTGCAGCTCTGGGGTCGGATGGGCCTCGCGGGCTTGGTTCCAGCTGAGACTCCGCCAGTCCCACCTCAAAGTCGCCCCTACACCTTGGCTGAGCTACCTGACCTTGGTATCAGCCCTGAACACTGGACACGCGGCGACGGGCCTGAGCCTCCCTCAGGGGCACTGTCACCAACCCCTGGGCCAAATGACCTTTGTGGCGCCCTGCCTGGCTCACAGCTCACCCACCCCGCACACCCTGGGGATTGCACAGTTCTCCCTCCTGTGACAGGGCAGCCCTGTCCGCGGTCCCTCTTCCCGATGGTGAGCTTCCCACCAATGTAGAAGCGCCTTCCCTTCCTGTCATCTACTCTCGGCCACCCAGCTGAGCCCCCACCGCCCCAGGGGGCTCCACGGAGTGAATCTGAGGGCGGAAATGTTTCTAAGCATTCATTTTCTAGCTGTTGCCAACTAGAGTGAAATCCTTCTGACTCAGCTTGAACTACAGCTCTGAAATCTAACAAGTTAGTTAAGAAGGATTTTAGAAAAGAAAAATTGAGCCTGGCCAAGTCTGCGATAGGAAATCCAGGATCCTTTCTAGATTAGAGGCTGCACAGTGACAGCCGTGACCCACAGATGTTTTGTCTGGTCTGCAGAGTGTTTTAAAACACGGGAACTCATAGCCCAGAGTTAAAAATCAGGCAATTTCACACACAACTCTGGATTTCTGGTTCCTCTGGAAGAAATAAGGTGATGGGGCAGCAGGGGTGACTCCAAAGACGGGGCTGACGCAGGGGGCTGGCAGACAGCGGGGCGTGCTGGGAGGCACTTCGAGAGAGTGTTGCCCAGGAGAGTGGTGCTGGGCTCCGATGTGGCTGGGAGCTGGCACAATTTATACACTTGGCAGGAGCGCCGTTTCCTCCAGGTTTTCTGTTTCTTATTAAAGTTTTTAGTCCGAGGGCGTAGTTGCTGACTCTGGTGTTGGCGTTAGCCCTGGCCTTATTAAACAGAAATATACAGCCAAGAGGAAATGAAGAAGGAAGGACAGACGATGCCAAAGGGAAAAAACAGGGCTGGAGAACCAAAGCAGCGTCCACAGGAACGAAATCCTGGGGGGCGGGGGCTGCGGTCCCTGCAAGGGGAGAGGGTGAGGTGGAGAGTGACAGCCCAGCTTCCGATTTCTTTTTTCCTTTTTCCAGACAAAGTCTCTCTCTATTGGCCAGGCTGGAGTGCAGTGGTGAGGTCACAGCTCATTGCAGCCTCGACCTCCCAGCCTCAAGCCACCCTCCCGTCTCAGCCTCCCGTGTAGCTGGGACCACAGGCACCCACCACCACACCTGGCTAATTTTTTTTGCATTTTTAGTAGAGACAGGGTTTCGCCATGTTGCCCAGGCTGGTCTCAAACTCTTGGGCTTAAGTGATCTGCCTGTCTCTGCCTCCCAAAGTACTGGGATTACAGGCGTGAGCCACCGCGCCCAGCCCCCAGCTTCAGAGATTTCTCTTTCTTTTCTTTTTCTTTCTTTCTCTTTTTCTTTCTTTTTTTTTTTTTTTTTGAGACAGAGTCTTGCTCTGTCACCCAGGCTGGAGTGCAGTGTGCAATCCCGGCTCACTGCAACCTCCATCTCCCAGGTTCAAGCGATTCTCCTGCCTCAGCCTCCCGAGTACAGCTTCAGATTTCTGAGAAGAAACTAACACTATGAGTACTGCCAGAGTAAGAAATCAAACCCTTGGTAAAAAGCACAGGCTTAACAAGACCCCAAAACACTGACATGGGTTTGACTGCCACTCACCAGCTGGCCTTGTGCCCTTGGACCCCCACTGGGTTTGGTGCCTCTCCTGGCCTTGGTTTTCTCAGCTATAAAATGGGCACAGCAGCAGTAACACCACAGGGTTGCCATGGCTGTGAGATGGGCACAGGACAAGGGCAGCGCCCTCGTTTGGGTTCCGCAGAACTGACTGCCGTTCTCAGTGCAGCCCAGGCGCGAACCTCCAAGGTGTCCTGCCCCACACTTTATTTTTTATTTTTATTTTTATTTTTTGAGACAGACTCTCCCTCTGTTGCCCAAGGCTGGAGTGCAGTGGTGCAATCTCGGCTCACTGCAACCTCCGCCTCCCAGGTTCAAGTGATTCTCCTGCCTCAGCCTCCCAAGTAGCTGGGACTACAGGCTCCTGCCATCAGCCCAGCTACTTTTTTTATTTTTAGTAGAGACGGGATTTCACCATGTTGGCCAGGCTGGTCACAAACTCCTGACCTCAGGTGATCCGCCTGCCTCAGCCTCCCAAAGTGCTGGGATTACAGGTGTGAGCCACCGTCCTTGGCCCTGCCGTGCACTTTAACCTGAAGAGATGAATCTGGACAAAACCCAGTTGCTGGCATAATCCTGACATGCTGCTCACCCTGTTTCCTCCCATCCTCGTCCCAGGGGGCTGCCTCCCTCAGGAGAGGTGGGTGCCGAAGTTGTCACCAGGCACCGTGTGGCAGAGCAGGGCAGTCAGAGCTCGCTTTGAACATATCTGGGCAGGGCCTCGCCTGAGGAGAGCAGGGCAGGCACGAGTGGGGCCGGAGGGGAAGTGCAGCACCGGCGCCCGCACCCTTCAACTTCTCAGTTTTCTCTGTCGGTTGATTTGGACGCGTTCTCACAGGTCATATGCACCTTTGAGTCCAATTTTACTCACAAGGATGCGCAAGGGTACAATTCTCAGCACACGCCAGCTTCTACCAAGATGGAGACAGTGGATCTAAGGCTATCTGCTGAATAGATCACAGAGTAATGAGTACATTAATGGTGGCAGCAAGGGCATGGCTGATGCTCCGTGATAACCTGAGCCAATCTTTGCTCCTCCCAGCCTCTGCACACCCTTCCCTCTGCAACCCTTCTATCCCTGAGGTGCCCTTCCCTCCACCTCTCTCCACTGCACAAACTCTTCCTCTCCCTTCCAGGCCCAGTTCAACAGTCACTTCCTTGACGCCTCATAATGGTCACCACTGCCTGCCTATCTCTGCTGCTGCCCTTACCACAGACACCGTGGACAGCAGCTCGTGGCTGTGCCCCCCACGCCTCCGTAAGGTTTTTGAGTGCGGTTAAAATCATGGGCTTGGGAACCAGACTGCCTGGGTTTGCATTCCAGCTCTGCCACCTGTGACTTCTCTGTGCCTCAGTTTCCTCATCCGTGAAATGAGAACAGCACCTACCTCACTGGGCTGCTGTAAGAGTTTAGATGAGTGAAGGTGTTGTCAGTGTCCAGCTTTAGTAAGCGCTGAAAACCTGTTAGTTAAAACCACTTCCCACCTGCTAGGATGGCTGCAATCAAAAGTCAGATAATAACAGGTGTTGGTGCAACGTGGCACGACTGGAACCCTCATACATGGCTGGTGGGAACGTGAAATGGTGCAGCCACTTTGGAAGCCAGTCTGGCAGCTTAATCAAACAGCTAAGCACAGAGTTACCCTGAGACTCAGAAATTCCACTCCTCGAGGCATCAGGAGTCAAATTATTGAATAACCCCAATAACCAATAACCCATAATCAAGTAGCCAAAGAGAAATGAAAACATATATCCAGAAAAAGTTTGCACACAAATGTTCATAGAAGCATACGTATAACAGCCAAAAGGTGGCGACAACCGAAATCACCGTCAGCTGATGAACGGATGAAGACAATGTGGTTGATCTGAACACCAGAATATCACTCTGCCATCGAAAGCTGCAACATGCTACCTGCCACAACATGGACGAACCTTGAAAACATGATGGGAAGTGACATGAACCACAGAAGGTCACACGCTGCAGGAGTCCATTTCTAGGAAATGTCCAGAATGAACAAATCCACAGGGACAGAAAGTAGACTCGTGGTTGGCAGGGGCTGGGGGAGAGGAGGGGAGGTGGGGGATAATAGCTACAGGGCATGGGCTTTCTTCCGCAGGGGATGAAAAGGTCCTAAAACGGACATCTCTCCCCTGGATTCTCCAAACCCTACCGACTGCCTCCAGGCACCACCTTGCCCTGCATCCTGTCTTCCGCATGGCAGCCAGGGTGACCCTGTAAGAACCTAAATCAGAACTTGGCCTTTCTCTCGGAACCCTGCAATGACTTTCTGTCTCACACAGAGTCGATGGTCTCACCTCACGATGGCCCAAAAGGCCCTGCGTGGTCCCGCCCTGCCCCTCCGACAGCCTCGTTCCTGCTTTCCCGTCTTACTTCTCTCCCACCTTGCTGACCTCAGTCTCACCAGGCAAACGCTTGCTCACTGAGGTGGCCCCTGTGCTGGATCCCCGTCTCCACCAGAAATCCACTTGACCCATTCCCTTTTCTTTCTTTCTTTTTTCTTTTTTGAGACGGAGTCTGCCTCTGTTGCCCAGGCTGGAGTGCAGTGGCACAATCTTGGCTCACTGAAACCTCCGCCTCCCAGGTTCAAGTGATTCTTCTGCCTCAGTCTCCCGAGTAGCTGGGATTATAGGCGCCTGCCACCATGTCTGGCTAATTTTTGTATTTTTAGTAGAGACAGGGTTTCACCATGTTGGCCAGCTGGTCTCGAACTACTGACCTCAAGTGATCTGCCCGCCTCGGCCTCCAAAAGTGTTGGGATTATAGGCGTGAGCCACCACGCCCGGCTCCCATTCCCTTTTCTACAGCTGTAAGTTGTGGCTCAAATGTCTTCCTCCCAGGGGGACCCCTGGCCCTGCCTCCCTACTCTATTTAATATCCCACTCTGCACACGCCACATCCCAGTGTGATGAAGGCACAGTCTCATCTGTGCTTTCTCTTTTCCATAGCACTTGTCATCTTCTAAAGTACTACAGGGCATGCTTATTATATTCATGATTTGTCTGTCCCCTTGCTAAACGGGCATGCCATCGGATCCGGGTTTCCGTCTGTTTTGTTATTTAGGTATTCTCTGCTATTGGTTGGTGCTCGGTGAACATGTGAGAAGGAACTCTGTCTTCACATCTCTGAGAAGTAGGTATTATCATTTCCGTTTCTCAGGTGGGACATGATGGCTCAGAGAGGTTAGGTGACCTGCCCCAGGGACCACAGCTGGGACAGGGAGTTGGGTGTGAGGCCCCCCACTGCCTGGTGCTGGGGAGACCCCCTGCACTGCATTGGTGCCCCTGGTCTTCTAGACAAAGGGCAGCAGATGACCATAGCTGCTCTTTAGGAACCAGGCACTGAGTTAGGTGCTTTAGATACACCACCTGTAATTCTCAAGCAATCCTGCAAGTTAGGCCTCTTACTTCCATTTAATAGAAGAGAAATCGGAAGCTCTGAAAGGTGAGGGAACATGCCCAAGGCCACACAGCTAGGAGACAGTGGAACCAGATGCTTCTTTGTGTAAGGGGTGCAAGCTTCCACATGCAGCTGAGACCCTCCGCCATCTGCAAGGCGAAAGTCATGCCCTGTTTACTGCCAAGATAAGCACTGCTGGGGACAAAAGTGCCAAGGAGGCTAAATTAGGGCTTAGCAGGACAGGAGTGAAAGGGAAATAGCAAAAGGCTGCCTCCCATGACTTCATCAAAGTGAACCCTGGCCACTTTTATCTTCCCCCGAAAAGGCTGATAAATGCACAAAAGCCCTCCCTCCCCTCGGCACACCAGGAACCACAGAAACTGGACTACTCATCAC
Organism: Homo sapiens; assembly: GCF_000001405.40. Taxonomy (NCBI): domain Eukaryota; kingdom Metazoa; phylum Chordata; class Mammalia; order Primates; family Hominidae; genus Homo; species Homo sapiens. The sequence goes on from NC_000005.10 coordinate 178,377,014, forward strand.
CTCTTGAAGGGGTCACCGGCTGGAGGATGTCTCAAGGACAAATGCGATGCCCCGCAGCCTGTTTCATGGGGTCTGACAGGGAGCCGGTTGCAGATTGATGGGACTACGCGGGCCACGCACAGGAAAGCGTCTGAGTCAGCAGTGGGCAGCGGGTAGGAACCAGCATCCACCCAGCAGAGCTATGATTAACGTAATTCCAACAGATCTTCTCCCGTAACGGGCTGGTGTTTCACATCTGTCAGACACAGAGCTGCCTCCCCTGAACATGCCATGTCTTTCCTTCCTGGCTGTGCAAAGGCAGTGTGTTCCTCCTTCCTTTTCCAAGGGAAGGCATGAACTGCCTGGTGTTTTAAGAAGTGAAATTCTGGCCCTCATCTCCAGGGGCCGGGGCCACCCCACTGCTTCTGGAGAATCAGCCCAAGGCATTCGGCAGTCAGTCCCGACATGGGTCTACCCAAACTCACTAGTGAAAACTCACCACACAGCCAGACGTGTCATCCTGGGCCTTTTGCCTTTTCTTCACCCTCTGCCACCGGCCATGTGTCCTAGGATCCTCAAGCCTAACTTCCCTGGGTGCAATTCCCCATCCCAACCCCATCTCCAAGGCGGTGCCATCCTCCCCTGGACCTTCGATCTTCAGGGGTGTGGGAAGCCATGGGAGTGGCGTGGAGGTGGTGTGGACAAGCGCGCGAGTCACGGTCACAGTCTGTCACCGGGAGGCCGAGAGAGCAGGTGCAGGGCAGGCCGAGGGGACTCCTGCGTAGAGGTGGCCAGTGGAAGGCGCTTTAGGGGCTGGTGAGCCATCCTGTGTGTGTGGCAGGAGCTGGGGCCCACGACACACGGTGGAGAAGACACTGGAGAAGCAGGCAGGGGTCATTGGGAGAAGGGATTTACTCAAGAGCCACAGTGTGCCAAGCACGATGGCACGTGTCTGTGTTCCTAGCCACTCAGGAGGCTGAGGCAGGAGGATCGGTGAGCCCACGAGCTCCGGGCTGAAGTGCACAATGCTGACTGAGTGTGCACAGTAAGTTTGGCATCAATATGGTGACCTCCCAGGAGAAGGGGACCACCAGGTTGCCGAAGGAGGGGTGATCCGGCCCAGGTCAGAAGCAGAGCAGGTTGAAATCCCATGCTGATCAGTAGTGGGACTGTGTCTGTGAACAGCCACTGCACTCTAGCCTGGACAACATAGTGAGACCCCATCTTTTAAAAAGTAAAAAGAGCCACAGTGGTAGCTCTCCAAGGGGATAACAGGCCCCACAGAGCCCTGGGAAAATGCACATGTGCACAGACACTCAGTCTGCCCCATTTCAGGGTTTTCCTGCACCCCCTGAGGACTGCAGTCCATGCCCCACAGCAAGTGGGCCTCCTCAAGCAGGACGATACCGGTATGGGACCTGTACTTCTGCCGCTGACTGGAGGGAGTGGCAAGAAGGGCAGGGCTGGGAAGCCTAACTGGGAATTGGCATATGGGTTTTTGGTAAATCCAGTGTGATCAGAGTAGTAAAACCAGAGCTCAAGTGAGGGTTAGGGCTGGAGGTCACTAACACCAACCCAAGAGGGAGAAGGTGGCGTGGAGATGGGAGAAGTTCCCCCGCAGAGGCGACAATGAACAGAGCTGATGGGATGTGGGGTGGGGCCGGGCAGTTTGCAGGATACGCAGGGATGGAGCAGCGCTGAGTGCCCAGGGAGGTTTGGTGCCTCCTGGGAAAGGTCACCTGCCTCAGGGTGAGGAAGGACCCTCATCACCAAGGCTCAAGGACAGGGTGAATGGAGACCGCTGGCAGGTGGCAGCGGCCGCAGGACGGAAGATCCTGAGGCAGACCCAGGCTTGGCCAAGCTTGCCCAACAGGTCTGACTGAGGCTCCACACAGAGACCCCATCCTTCTCTTATTTGGAATCCCAAAAGCTCTAAGAGCCAAGAGTTTATGTTAAACTGGAGTAGTTTTCAGTTGGAGGCAAGCCAGATTGATGTGAGGCTGTTTCTAGACTTTATTTATCTCACTTGCGGGTGTGTTTATACATTTCACTGCAGAAACATTAGCCTGTCTGGTTATGGGAGCTGCCCCAGAAGGATTCTGAATTCTGCACACGTCAAGCTCAAAGGGTTTGGCTAACAGATTGTGAACCTGCACTAGAGAAATTTGATTAAATTATTGTGTATCTATGAGACAATTAAAAAAAACAAACAAACCAGAAAGCTCTCCAAGACATAGTGATCAACTAAAAAAAACCCTTATTCATTTAACCAAAACTTGAAAGGTATCTCATGAGTCAGCACTGTTGACCGTAGATGCTAGGACTGGAAAAGTGAAACAAGCAGAAAAATACTAAACAAAACTCTCTACGTGCACTGTGTACCTCTGTGTGTGTACATGCAGAGAAAGAGGCCTGGATGGACACACATGAATCTGGTAATAGTGGGACCTCTGGGCAGAGGGGTCTTGCAGGGATGAAGGCAGCCTTTGACACATTATTCTCTGTATTTTGGTACTTTTTGTATTACTTTTGTTTACAGTAAGCAAGAATTCATGTATTACCCCTGTAATTAATAGAGAAAAACCTAGAACTATAAAAATGAAAACACGCTGGGTGTGGTGGCTCACACCTGTAATCCCAGGACTTTGGGAGGCCGAGGTGGGCGGATCACCGGAGGTCGGGAGTTCGAGACCAGCCTGACCAACATGGAGAAACCTTGTCTCTACTAAAAATACAAAATGAGCTGGGCCTAGTGGTGCATGCCTGTAATCCCAGCTACTAGGGAGGTTGAGGCAGGAGAATTGCTTGAACCCAGGAGGCGGAGGTTGCGGTGAGCAGAGGTCACGCCATTGCACTCCAGCCTGGGCAACAAGAGCGAAACTCCATCTCAAAAAAAAAAAAAAGAAAAGAAAAAGAAAACAAAAACAAGGAAAAATAACTACCCATTTAGTTCAACCTTATTTTATAGATGAGGAAACTGAAGGTCAGGGAGGCCCCACAGCCTCAGGTTGGAGCTGGAACCAGGCTCCACAGACTTTCAGGGCTAGTTCCTGAACCGATGCTGCCTCCAACATGACCTGTGTTTTGTGAACCGTGATGATCTATACACAAAATTCTACATGTGGCCTGTTTTGCTGAAGCCCTTTTTACCACTGAGGAATGGTTTTATTTATCTGTAGAAGCCACAGACAGCAGGGTGTGGAAAGTCAATGGGTCAATTGCTGCCTAGTGTTGGAGCAGGATGAAGACCAGAACCTGCTGGGGGGGACTGCAACTCTGGGTCACAGGTGACCTAGATGAGGGGGTCCAATGTGGCACACCAAGGCGGGGCCCAGCAGTGGGATGTGGACACTCCAGTGCAGCCACGTAAAACTTATCCTTGGATTTCTAGAGCATGCATTTGTGTGTGTGTGTGTGTGTGTGTGTGTGTGTATGCTTTTTTCCTGTTTTTGTACTTCTCTCATATTTTCTTTCTTTTTCTGCTGAAGGGGAAAAGGCACTGTCACCACAGCTGCTGATCAGGAGTTCCAAGTTTTGATTTTTCAGTCGCAGTTGATTTCACTCATTATTCATTATTTTTAACAGAATGTATACATTTCTACGTGGAAATGTTTTTCAACGTTTTAAAACCAGAATGAGTGAATGGGAAGTGGCATTTGAGCCAATGAAGGAGGTGGTATGAACAGCACGGCCCTGGCTAAGAGGACGGCCGGGACAGAGGCAGGGAGGATCACGTCCGGGGCCAATGTCGGGACCAGCCGCAGTGAGAGGGAGGAGAGAAAAGGCAGGGACTTCACCTGTCCCCAGCGTCCTGCTGAGCAGGGTCACAATATGAGTGCTTTCTGCCAGGACAGCCTTCCAGGGCAGCGGGTGTGGGGACAGCTGAGGCCAAGGCTGAGCAGGGCAGGGGAGTGGGGAGGGCAGGGCAAAGACGCACCCTGGAGATGTGTGGGCCCACCCAGCCGGCAGGCACATCTAGCTAGGCCCATTCCGATCCGTGGCCAGTGCTACCAGGCAGATTTCATCGTCAAGTCCTAATTTTGCAAGTTTTCACCTGGAAAATCAAGGGGCCCTGGCCTACCTGGGCCTAGAGGGTCTGGCATGGCCACAGTCACTGAAGTGGAGTGGGGTTCTGCCACTCCCTGCCCCTCACTCATCCACTCCACCTGTGAGGATTGGTGACGTTGCCTTCAACAAATAATTAGGGGGTGGCTTACAAAGGTCCCTTCGGACTTGGGAAAGAAGAACAGTTAAGCCAGCAGCTGGCCCTCCTCAGGATGTAGGGAAGTGTGGAAGCTGCACCAGCCCAGGGGACCCTGCCGGCTCCCCTACTCCCACCTTCCACAGGGGAAGGCCAGCAAGTACGATGGCCATGGGGATGGCGAGAAGGCTGAGAAGTGCCACTCAGAGCAGAAGGTGTGTCCATGCCAGCAGGACCAGCTGCTTGGGACACCAGCACCACCGGGAGAGAGGGTCCTGCCTGTCGCTGGTCTGTGGGTGGTTTCACCTGAGCTGTGCTGTTACCATCTATCCATGCATTTGTGTTAGTGAGGACGGAATGGTATACAGAGCAGCAGGCTGTCATGCCATATGGGAATTCTGTGTCTCCGGGCCCAGGCCTAGCCACACAGAGGGTGATCTGGCCTGGAGTGGTTTTTTTTGAGACAGGGTCTTGCTGTGTCGCCTACGCTGGAGTGCAGTGGCATGATCGTGACTCCCTGCAGCCTTGAACTCCCCGGCTCAGGCAATCCTCCCGCTTCGGCCTTCTGAGTAGCTGGGAATAGAGGTGGGTGCCACCACGCCCGGCTGATTTTTAAATGCTGTGTAGAGATGGGATTTCCCTCTATTGCCCTCACTGTTCTTGAACTGCTGAGCTCAAACCATCCTTCCGCCTCGGCTTCCCAAAGTGCTGGGATTACAGGCACGAACCATCACACCCAGCATTGCCTGGAATTTTTGGATCAAATTGGCCTGTGCCCCCTCCGGTGGGAATCCTAGGCATTCTGAGGGCAGGTTAGTCTTGCCCTCGAGTCTCCATGTGAGATGGTCTGACCAACAGAGATGCCTATTTCTGGGTTTCGGTTCTCAGTCCGCACTGGAATCTTCGGGGGGAATGGGTGGGGCATTCTGGCACAGTCCCTGGGGGGCTGAGGTTTCTCAGCTGAGAGGCCGACGCTCAGAGAGGCTGGGTGTCTGCTGAGGGTCACACAAGAGTGGTGGGGGCACAGAGTCCCAGCTGCAGCTGCTGCGGCTGATCATCACCCACATTGCCTGGAGGGAGTGTCAGGGTGGTAAGGGTGGGTCAACTGGTCAACCTCCAGGGCTTTTGTGTTTGTTTCCGAATCAGGTTCTTTCTGTGGGCACCGGCAGGCCTAGTGTTAATATATATGGACAGAAAGGATGAGAATCATGTTGGAAACGCCCCTTCGCCCTCCTCCTCCTCTGGAGGCTGGGCTAGAAGGTGGGAATCACCTAATGCCAGGCTGGGGCAGGGGACAGGGAGAGACCTGGAGGAGGCGGGACCTGAGGGTAGGCGACGGGGAAGAGTAGGGTGAACCGATACCCCACCATGGCCAGAGTGGGGGGTGAGGAGGGCAGCCCAGCACCAAAGGTGGGTGGAGAAACTGTGTCCCCTCCCGCAAAGTCTCATTATGTTCTTAAGCCCCTCCAGTCCCAGGAGTTGGGAGATGGGGCCTTAGCCCCAGAGGGGTATGACATGGAAAAGAGAGCCCCAGGCCCAGGACTCGGGGGCACTGAAGAGGGAGAAGCACAGCTCAGGGAGACGGTTCAGAAGCGCCCTGGCTCTGGGCCCACACACCCCTCCCCACCGCCTTGGCAGGAGTCAGAAGGCTGAGTGTAAGCCGTGACTCGGGGAGGCCTGGCTCCTCGGCTGGCCTGGAAGTCAAGTGAAACCAGGTGGCAACCAGGGGGTGGGGAGGAGCTGAGGACAGGAGGGAGGGGGGCCCACTCCAGTGCAGACCTGGGGAGGTGAGAGACTCCACCTGTCGGGGCTGGCTGGGCTCCTGAAAAGCTGACAGGAGCCAGGGGGTGTCTGTGATCAGGGCTGGGGGCTGCTGGTGCATGGTTCCCGGACTTGAGATGCATAGGAGCTTGCTGGCAGACTTGTCAGAACCCAGGCTGCTGCCTCCCCCTCCCCCTCCTCCAGCTCTGGGTGCAGCCCAGCCATTTGCATTTCCACTTTCTGGAACTTTCCTAGGTGCTGCGGCTACTGGTCTGGGAACTGCACTTTGAGAACCATGTCCTAGGCCACATGCTCAGCTCCTGTTGGGACCAGCTTCCCGCAGAGATGGCCTGCCTTATCTCTACCCCACCTGATCAGAATTCTACAGACAAGGGCCCAGCCCTGACCCAGTCTGTGGTCAGGAAACCAGGACAAGTCCCCTTAAGGGGTCAAGGGTGGCTCCCTTGGTCCAGCTTGTTCCCCAGTCATGGCCCAGCCGGCCCCTTCCCGGCTCCCAGGGAAGTTAGCTCTAAGGTCTCTGCCACCTGCAGGCCTGGCACCCAATTTGGGATGCTGGTTACCCCATTCTCCAGGGACTCAGCCCCAGAAGACTGTCCCGTTGTTTCTTGGGGAGGTGGGCTTGGGGTTGGAGAAGCCCCCCATCAGCCGTGACTTGTGTCCCAGGACTTTTCGTGGGAACCTGGGCCCTCGGCCTGGAGCTGGAGCATCGTTCTCCAAGTCTGCATGCACAATCACAGTCCTTCAGTGTTAGCCGGGAGCCCCCTGGGGTGAGGTTTTGGGGCATCCTTAAATGGCCTGCAGGGCCTCTGGGAAAACCGTGCATGACTTCAGGCACTCCTTTGTGTGGTCACCTCCCCGTGGCCTCACGCTGGACATGGTAAAAGCAAACCTTACGACAGAAATAGAAAAAAAAAAAAAAGGCAGAGACGAAAAGAATCTCAGAAAAAGATAGACATGAATGGCTAGAGAGTTAAGAGAAGATCAAAATGGAAACCTGTTATCCATCCTGTTAGCAAACGAGGCCACGCTGTGTGACACGGGGGCCCAGGACTCCACCAGGCGGCCTGTGCAAGCCTGGGCTGCATCTCCTGCCACGGCCAGGCAGGTCCCACCTCTCTGCAAAGACCCCTCTTCTCTAGAAAGGGGTGATGGTAAAATAAGGCTGGCCATCGAGAAGACCGAGAGGCAGGGTCAGGGGCGGCACTTTTAAGATAGTGACAACGAGAGCAGCGTGGAGCCAGACGCTGCTGCGAGCTGAGCTGCGATCGCAAATGCACGCAGCTCCCCGCCCAGGGCAGTTCTCAAAACCTGGATCCGGCGACGGAGGCCCGGCCTGGCCACTGCCTGGCGTTTTCTCATAAACCAGCTTTCACGAGGTGTTGGCTGCTCAGTCTTGACATGAGGTGAAGCCTCAGGAAAGCCCGGGGCTGTTCATCCGGGTAGTAAACCAGGCTTCGGCTTTCCAAGCCAGACCTCTCCTCCCTGCCCACCCCTCCCTCGGCTTTTTGGAGGCCACGTGGACGGCGCTGAGTGCATCCCTCTCCAGCGGCCCACCGGGCACTGTGCAGGGGCCGGCGTGCCTTACTTCCCTCCCTGCTCCTGCGCTGATTCTGCTCCTGCCTCAGAGATCACGGTTTGACATGGGAAACCAAGGCTCAGAGGGGGCAGGGCCGGGACTTGGACTCAGATGCGTCCAGTTTCAGAGCCAGAAGCCTCCTGGGGGCCTCACCCACTGAATCAGAGTGCGCGCTCACAGGGTGCACATATAACAGCCACCACGACCCTTGTACCACCCGGGGACGGCCCAGAACAGCCTGGGGCTTGGAGTCCCCCTGAGGGAAATGGCTGTGCCTTTTCCTAAAGCATTAAAAGGTCCGTAACAGAAAAGCGGGAAATAGCCTGCAAGGAGGAAGAGCGCGGTGAGAGGTCAAATGGGTGGCGAGGCTCCCGCTCCTTCCCTGTGCCCAGCCTCCCTGCCTGCCCCATCCAAGCCACCACACTGGGCTGCCCAGCCCACTCCACGCCGGGGGCTCTGTCCCTAGAGCCTGAGCAGGTCCTGACGGGGTAGTCTTCTGTGGCAGCCCCTGGTGGCTGGACTCATGTTGTCACAGCTGGGGAACAAGCATTGGGGTGGGGTTATCACCCACAGCTATAGGAGTGTGGGACTTGCTGTCTCCTGGGCTCTCACTCCTCAGGAACTGGGGCTCAGTCCTTTCTGCTCCTGGAGCCTCTCAGACTCTTCTCCTTACTGGGCCTTCCGCTCTGGCAGGGTGGGTTGCGGGGACCCCTCTGAGCTGCTAATGCTTCCCTCCCCCCAGGTCTCAGTGAGCTGTGGACGCGGGGAATTCACAGAGGGAAACACCCCTGCTCTATCAAACACCACCCCCACAGGCCCACACGTCTTCATGTCAGTAGGCTGGAAGCAAATGGCCAAAAATGGAAATGTTTGTGCTGGTGCCTGACTCAGTTTCTTTGCCCCTTATTTCTCTTAGGACGTGAGTGCAGCCAGGCTCCAGACTGTTGGAGCCCCTGGAGCCTGGCCGGTCTCCTCCAGGAGGGTGCTGGGCACCGAGCCGGGGTGGCCCTGCTCTCCCTGTGACCCTGGCCGTGTGCACGTTAGGAAGTTACTCTCATGCCCTTCCCCCGAAGCTTCCCACAGACTGGTGACTGGCTGTCTGAGGACGTTAAGCGCATCATCTGCCACACGTCGTGGCTTGATGTTGACTCACACCTGGGTTCACAGAGCAAACTGACGTAGGAAACACCCAATCCAAAGAGGATGCTCCACAGAGGCCAGAGCTAAGCTCACCCACCTTCAAAGGCATCTGATAATAAAACCAGGACCTCTGGGATCAGAAAGTTCCCGTGTCGGCTGCCAGGATTTTCAAAAGATGTATTCAACCTGTTTTAGTCTGGGATTTCATACAATATTTCACTGATTTTCCCTACAGTCGTAATACAGCTGACATTTCTCGGGAAATGAAAATCCATGTGTCCTAACCATCTAGTACCAAAGCAGAAGAAGGCAGAGTGCATAGAATTTGCAGATCCACAGCAGCATTAATAGGCAGCTGGAGAAATGAAAGCTTGCATTGCAGGCTATAATACAATGCTTGTATCCAACCCGGGCTTCGTGTATGTGGGTATGTTTTTCCAATATTATTATTAAAAATACAACATAGGCCAGGCGCCGTGGCTCACACCTGTAATCCTAGCATTTTGGGAGGCTAAGGCGGGTGGATTGTCTGAGCTCATGAGTTTGAGACCAGCCTGGGCAACACGGTGAAACCCCGTATCTACTAAAATACAAAAAATTAGCCAGGCATGGAAGCATGCGCCTGTAGTCCCAGCTGCTTGGGAGGCTGAGGCAGGAGAATCGCTTGAACCCAGGAAGCGGAGGTTGCAGTGAGCTGAGATTGCACCGCTGCACTCCAGCTTGGCAGAGAGAGCGAGACTCCGTCTCCAAAAAAAAAAAACGCAATACACTATTTCAGGAAATATTAGGAATAAGACTCACTCACAATCCCACCAACCTAGCACAAATATTTCCATTTTTGGCCATTTGCTTCAGCCTGTTGAGATGAGGATATGAGTCTGTGTGTCACCAGAGGGGGGTCGGGGTGGGTGAGTGTTTGATAAAGTGGGGGTCTGTTTTCCTCCGTGAACTCCCCCGCCCCCACAGCTCACTGAGACCCGGTGGGAGGGAAGCGTTATCAGCGCAGAAGGGTCCCCGCCGCCTACCCCTGCCCCGTCAGGAGTCTGAGCAGACACCATGGGCTCCAGGAGCAGAAAGGACTGAACCTCGGTTCCTGGGGAGCAAGAGCCTGGGAGAGAACAGGACGCACACTCCTATGGCCGTGGGGAGGTGACCTTCTTTTGCCCTGATGCTCACTGGCTCTATGCTGTGCCACTGATCGGATGCCTGGTAACTTCCTCGGCCATTGCCCAGTATCATCAGACATTTGAGTGGCTTCCAATATTGCACTATTAGGATGGGTGCAATAAATACCCACAGGCTGACCTCGGCTTTGCCTCTGGACTTCAGCTCCAGGTTTCGTCTCTCGCTCCAGGCTTCCTGCTGTCCGACTTCCTGGCACTCTGCACCCCCACCTTATTTCTCTCCCACGGCAGCTTCTCATCACCCCGTCTGGAACCAACAACACCCTCTTTTCTCTTTCATTTTACCCATCCTGGTGCTGACAGCTCACAGCAACCCTGCCCGAGTCTTCAATGGCCCCCACACACAGCCTCACCGAGGAAAGCCACGTTCTGTAGCCTGGTGATCACCCCTTATGCCTGGGCCCAGACTCCCCACTTCTCTTCCTCGTCTCCTTCCACATGCCCTTCAAATGTCCAGCCCTGGTCAAACTGACCCGCTCACAAGTCTCTAAGACACTGCTGGGTCAAGCCTCAGTGCGTTTGCCCAGGTGGGTCCCTCCACAGGAGCGCTCCTCCCGAAACCCACCCACCGGACATGTTCCTGCTGCCCTCCTGCAGCTCAGAGCACCCCTGCCCATGAGCTCTCCTGGCAGGGTCGGGAACTGCCTGCTGCATCTGGGTATGCTCTGCACACTGCTCCAAGGGCTGCCCTCACAGCCGACTGTATTTGGGGTTTGCCTGAGCCTCCCCTCCTGGACCAATAACTTCTAGAGGCTCATGACCATTTACCTTTTATCCCCAGTACGAATACAAAGATAAGGTCAAAGAACACACTCAGTAAATACACGCTGAGCTAATGAATGAACGAACGACAATGAGGCAGTGGGTCTGAGTTCTCCCTACAGACAGTGTGGGCCATTTTCCCCCGCGCTGTGCTTGCGGAGTTTCCCACTCCTCTGTCCCCCAGCTTTTATACTCAGGAAGGAAGAGGGCCCAAGGAGAAAATAAGGAGCCAAAAGCAACCTGCCTGCAAGGCCTCCTCCCAAGATGTGGCAGCTGTGGTGGCACTGCAAGAACTGCCAGTGAAGGACAGAAATGGGCAAGTGGGAGGAGATTGATGCAGAAAGCCCCCCGCCACCATGGCCACCGCCCACCGACACTGCTCCTCAGGGCATGTCCACCCAGCGCACGCTCTCCACGGTGTGATTCTTCCAGTAGGCTCACCTGCCAGAGCCCTTCCGTTATTGCTGGATGTAAAGTTCCCAGCCTCAGAGTCTCAGAAGCTCCCTGCCCTGAAATGCCTTTAACAGATAATTTTTCAGAGACTCCTGAAATGTAAGTCTCCCTCCAGCAAGCAGGTCTGTCAGAGATGCAAGACCTGCTTTTAGCGCTAGTCCTGATAATCCCACAGCAGAGCCAGTTCTCCACTCTGCTGAAGAATTTAGGGCTGGGGTGGCATGGGGATGAGTTGGATTTAATCTTACGTTCCCTCTTCTCAAAGGTGAAGAAAGGCCAGATATGCCTGTTGGAAGCAGGTATCCCTGGAACCTGCAGCGGGGCAGCTCAGGAGGTGGCTTACACTTACTTAAGCAAGTGACTTACATTTACTTAAGCAATGCTGGTTCTTCAGCGGCTCCTCCCAAGTCCTGGAAGCAGCCCAGGGGATCCCAGCTGGGAGAGGAAGGAGGCTGTGGGTTGCAGCATCAGTGGCCGTCTCCTTGCTTGTCTCTCCCACTGCCTGTCATCAACTTCCTCCCCTGGTGATTTTGCTGGGCCCTTCCCAGACATCCAGGAGCGGTGGAGATGGGCCTTCTGACTCATCCAGTGACCAGGCCACCGAGTGGCCTCCCTGCCTCCAGCCCAGCCCAGCCATCCTGTCTCCCATCACTGGCATCCGATGCTGTCACTCCCTTGCACTGAAACCTGCAGTGGCTCCCTATTGCCTATTTCCTCAGAACACAAAGCCCTGAGTAACCAGTCAAAAGGGAGTTTACTGCAGGACTTCTCAGGGCCTTTAGTATGCTAACATCCCTTGCAGCTCTCTAAGGTGGAGATTGGAGGGGATTATACGATAAGATTTCCCAAACTTCTGTGACTGTGGAACCCTTTCCGCAGGGACATCTCATGAGTCAGGTGCTCCAGGGACACTGATTTGGGGATCACTAACTAAAGGCTAAAATTTACACTCCTTACCAAGGCAATTGAAGCCTTCATAACCCAGCCTTGACTGGTTCCCCAAACCTGGCTGTCACGCTCCCGTTGCCTCAGTGTGTGGCTTTACATAACCCAGCCTTGACTGACTCCCCAAACCTGGCTGTCACGCTCCCGTTGCCTCAGTGTGTGGCTTTACAAAATTTTTGCTGCCTGGAAGCGGCTTTCCTTTTCCTCCACCCAGCAAAGTCCCAATGCCCCTTTCAACACAGCCTCCTGGCCACCTCCTCCAGGAAGCCCTCTCCCATTCCCTTTCCAAAGGTGGGTTTGGCTACACTCTCCCCTGTGTGACAGTTACACAGAGACTCACAGCACACAGCAACATCTGCATTTAGTCAAAGTGATGCTTCAGTTTGCATTTCACGACTAAGCTGCACAAAAGCTTCAGACCTCACCCAGATGGCGAGACATTCACACAGGGTCTGCAGGAGCTGATGTCCACTGGGGAGCTGCACATTCTCATCCCTCCTCACAGAGGGTGCCCACTGACACTAATTCAATGAGTTATCTCTTGTTTTGCTGGACTTCCCTCCACCCCCAAGTCGTAGAAGTGGACTTGCATTGGTTAAATGTGTATATAATGTGATTCCCATGTGTAGAGTTAAGTGCCTTTCCCTTCTGTCTGTGGCCTCCTCCAGAGGTGTTTTGTTCTTCATTTAGTGACAGCAGAGTGACAAGGAGCTCCATGTCACATGGCTTCTCCCTGTGGCCTTGGTGAGCCCAAGGTGGGTATGAATATACAAAGCTGACTGCTTGCGTGACGGGTGGGCACATGCAGGCAGTGTGTGGAGAAACAGCTACGTCCAGCCCTCCTGAGCCGTTCTGAAGTGGCACCGGCTGCCCCTGCCAAGACACCGGTAAGCTCCCCCTTGCCACTAATCTCACATGCTTACAGGAAAGACGCTCGGCGGCAGGAGCTAGCAGCGGGGTGCTCAGAGACTATGTGTCCTGCCAACAATGTGCTCAGGACGGATCTGTGGGATCCAAGCCACATCTGCTGAGGCTTTGAGAAAGTTCTGTTCTCCCTCTCAAAGCTACCAGAGGCCACGAAGGCTGGCCTTGGATTCAGGGTACTGGTTTGAACCCCATGGACATTCTCACCCCAGTCCTTGCTACAGGACCAGGATGAATATATCATTTACTATCCAAACCAAGATATTTTAAGAGAGGGAGAGACCGGCTAACTTGCAGGAAGAACAGGCATACACTGAGACTGTCTGGATCATGTGGGATGTACGGTCATTGTAGCTACAACTGGCTGGAGGAGGACAGCAGGGAGCAAGGAGGCACATGGCCATGAGGCAGGTCACCTGCTGGTGCACTCCAGGCTCAGTGTGGCAGAAAGGTATGGCCACATAAAGAAGAGCTGACCAAGCCCCTCTAACCAGCTGCTCTCCCGAGGGTCCCCTGGCACAGAACCCCCTCATGTTCTCACCCCAAAGTGCACAGGACAATGAAGGGCAGAGACAGCACAATAGAGACCCCTGCAAGGCCTCCCAGTGCCATCTGTGGGCACCTGAGTTACCAAGCACCTGTCATGGAGGCTGCTGTCCTGCAATCAATAAGGTTTTTAAAACTTGTCTGTTCTAACAAGGGTGCCAAGACCATTCCATGGGGAAAAACAGTCTTTTCAACACATGGTGCTGGCACAGCTAGATATCCACATGCAAAAGAATGAAAGTGGACCCCTGCCTCACACCATATGTAGAAATTAACTCCAGGTGGATCAGACTTACATGTAAGACTTAAAACTATCAAACTCTTAGAAGAAAACATAGGTGTAAATCTTCATGATCTTGGTATTAGGCAGTAGTGTGTTAATATGACACCGAAAGCATAAGCAACCAAAGGAGCAATAGATAAACTGGATTTCAAAACAAATAAACTTTTGTGCCTTAAAACAGGGGCCCCAACCCCTGGGCTGTGGACCAGTTTGTGGCCTGTTAGGAACCGGGCCTCACAGCAGGAGGTGAGTGGCAGGACAGTGAGCATTACCGCCTGAGCTCCACCTTCTGTCAGATCAGCAGCGGCATCAGATTCTCATAGGAGCATGAACCCTATTGTGAACTATGCATGCAAGGCATCCAGGCTGTGCACTCCTTATGAGAATCTAATGCCTCCAAAACCATCATCCTTCCACCCTTGTCTGTGGAAAAATTGTTTTCCACGAAACCAGTCCATGGCACCAAAAAGGTTGGAGACCACTGCTTTAAAAGATACCGTGAAGAAAAGGAAAAAGATAAGCCATGGAATGGCAGAAAATATTTGCAAATCATATATCCGATAAGGGACCTGTAACTATAATACGTAAAGGATTCTTACAAGTCAACAATAAAAAGACAAATAGGCAGAGGATGTCAATGGACCTTTCTCCAAAGAAGATAAACAAATAGTTACTAAGCACATGAAGACATAGGAAACGTCATTAGACAGCAGGGAAATGCAAATTAAAGCCACGATAAAGTACCACTTCACTCCCACTAGGATGGCCAGAATAAAAGAGTCAGACAGTCAAAAATGTTGGTGAGGATGGGGGGAAACTGGAACCCTCATCCATAGCTGGTGGGAATGTAAAAAATGCTGCAGCAGCTTTGGAAGACAGTCTGGCAGGTGCTCAAATGGCTTCACACAGACTGCCATACGATCTAGTAATTCTGCTCCTATTTACCCAAGAGAAATGAAACATCTGTCCATACAAACACTTGTACGCCCATGTTCACAGCAACATTATTAAAAATGGCCCAAAAGTCCAAGTATCCAAATGTCCACCAGCTGATCAATGGATAAATAAAATGTGGTATATTCATACAATGAAACATTATTTGAGACTAAAAGGAATGAAGTACTGACACCGGGATGAACATGCAGGAATCTTGAAAACATTACGCTAAGTGAAAGAAGCCAGACACAGAAAGTCACGTATTATATGATCCTATTTATATGAAATGTCTGGAATAGGGAAATCTGTAGAGACAGAAAGTAGATTAGTGGTTGCTGCGGGCTGGGGGCTTTGAGGGGAAATGATGGGTGGCTAGTAATAGGAGTGTCTGCTATTTTTTTTTTTTTTTTTTGGTTGATGAATTGTTCCAAAATTTATTGTGGTGTTGGTTGCACTACTCTGTGAGTATAATAAAAACCACTGACTTCTGCACTTTACATGGGTAAACTGTATAGTGAGTTATATCCTAAGATTGTTATAAAGCAAAAGCAATCTGAATGGCTGAGCCCGCACGGACGCAGCATCACAATCTGCCCTGGGTGTCCTCGGAGCACACTCACCTTATTTATATCTTTCAAACAATGCACCTACTGCATTCCCATCTTTCTTCTAAAATGTTAAAGAAACTGCATCTACAAGACACATCTTCAAACAGAAACACAAAAACCTTACAACGAAACAGGGCTGCACAGAAGGCCACGCCACCTCCAGAATTGCCCTGGCTAACTGTCAGGACAGCAGCAATGTTTTATCCACACAGAAGCACAAAGGGACAGAAACTGTGTTCTCTGCCTTCTTACTGAGACACGAGGCCACAGGAAGTCCACTCAGGATGGCAGGGTCCAGCGGACAATGGTCCCTGCTGCCACCCTCAGCCTAAATTCGGCTCCCAAATGTATCACGCTACCCCATGGCCGGCTCAGCTTTTCACCACTTGCAAATGTAATAGTGAGACCCCTCCTACCAATAGCCACATTGTTACCTGAAGATTGACAGTTCAACAGAAAATGCCACATTAGAAGAGGAGGCCTCAGGAAGAACAAGACCCAACGTGGCCAAGCAAGAAAAGGAGAAAGGAGACCTAAGAGTGTGCCAGCGCTGAAGAGAAACACCTTGGAGGTGTCTGACAGCAGTACCACTGTTAGTGCAACTCCTCACCAGTACAGAACGCCCTCCCTCACTGGGTGCTCAAAACCACCTGCTCAGCCATCTGCATTTTGCAGAGAGACTCAGGCAGGACAAGAGCCCAAGGACCCACAGCGGGTGCCTGGCAGAAAAGCAGCTCAAGCTCAGGCCTTCGAACTCCCAACCGTGCATTGTTGCCGAAGTAAACGATTTGTTGCATGCATATAAAACATCTGGCTCGAGAGATGGCCCTGGCAGGGAGCATTAGCCTTAAATGGAATAGTTTTCAGCCTTAAAAAGGAAGGAAATTCTGACACATGCGACAGCACGGATGGACCTTGAGGATGTTACGCTAAATGAAAGAAGCCACAAAGAAGAAGTCACGGAAGGACAAATGCTGGATGAGCCAAGCCAGGGTACTCCAAGTCATAAAGATGGGAAGTAAATGGTGGGTGCCAGGGCTGTGGGGAGGAGGAATGGGGAGTTATGGCTTAATGGGTGCAGAGTTTTCGTTCTGCAAGATGTAAACAGTTCTGATGATGGTTGCACAACAACGTGAATATACTTAATGCCACTGAACTGTACACTTAAAAATGGTTAAGATGGTACATTTTATGTTATGTATGTTTTACTACAATAAAAAAATTTCCCTGGCACCATTCAGATCATGTGAGACCAGCTCCCAATGCATGTGGAAGGAAATTGATAAAAATCATCAATCAAGACTCTCTTCCCTCTTTTCCTTTTTTTTTTTTTTCCAGACAGGGTCTTGCTGTGTCACCCAGGCGCAATCTCTGCTCACTGCAACCTCCACCTCCCGGGCTCAAGCGATTTTTCTGCCTCAGCCTCCCAAGTAACTGG
Source organism: Homo sapiens (assembly GCF_000001405.40). Taxonomy (NCBI): domain Eukaryota; kingdom Metazoa; phylum Chordata; class Mammalia; order Primates; family Hominidae; genus Homo; species Homo sapiens. The sequence goes on from NC_000005.10 coordinate 178,393,771, forward strand.
GACTACAGGTGTGCACCACCACGCCTGGCTAATTTTTGTACAGATGGGGTTTCACCATGTTGTCCAGGCTGGTTTCAAACTCCTAACCTCAAGTAATCCACCTGCTTTGGCCTCCCAAAGTGCTGGGATTATAGGTGTGAGCTACCAAGCCTGGCTTCTTCCCTCTTTTCAACTGATTTTCCAAGGGTGCCAAGGAGTGGGGAGGACCCACCCCAACCCTGCCCACCAGGTGCCCTGACAGAAGGATGGGACATAACCCCTTGGTCCCAAGGAAGCAGGTGCTCAGTGTGGCCACAGACTATCAAACCTGGAGCGAAAGACCTGGGAGGGCAGGAGGAAGGGAAGCTTCAGGGAGGAAGCAGAGGCAGGACAGGCAAGGAGGAGGCCCAGGGCTCCAGCACAGGCAGAGCATACAGTCACTATCTGCACCTGTCCTGCCCTGCAGGCCTGGAGCCTCCTGAGGGCAGGTCCGGTACAGGTTTAACCCATGCCCTGATGCTCAGTCAGCCCAGAGGCTGGCACAGAACAGTGCCTGCCACACACTGGGTGAGTCAACCCTGAGCCCTCAACTCGGAGCCACTCCCAGCTGGAGAACACCTGCTAGGCTGCATAGGGCCTGCAGCCCCACCCCAGGAATGCAGAGGCAGCCCCACCAGCCCTCTCTCAGCTCACTCCCTGAAGATCTCCAAGGAAGACAACTGTATTGACAGCACGGGGTACTTTTCCTGCTCCAAGAAATTAACTCATTTCAAAAGCCACGATGTTCCGGCCTCAACATGGTGTTCACAGCTAAACTGTGTGGCCTGAAGGTTCACATCTTTGGGTAAACTGAAAATCATCCTTAGCTAGCATTTGGCTGCAAGTTCAGCCTCCTGGTTCCTGAGTCCACCCTGACACGCAGAGGGGACTGCTGATGGTCTGACTCCCATCTGCTACACATGGGGAAACTGAGGCCCAGAGAGATGGTATGCCTCCCCAGGGTCACAAGTGGGACATAGCAGGGCTAGAATTACAAGGCCCTGGGTCTCGGGCAAGGGCTGAGGGGAATTAGTTGAGCTAATTAGTCATGCTAAGCAGCATTCGGCTCTCAGCTCCAAACGTCCAGGCTTGGTTCCGGCCCCGGCTGTCCTCCGAGAGTCTCTCCCCGGCGGGCAGGCGCTCTGGGCATTCGGCTCTCAGCTCCAAACGTCCAGGCTTGGTTCCGGCCCCGGCCGTCCTCCGAGAGTCTCTCCCCGGCGGGCAGGCGCTCTGGGCATTCGGCTCTCAGCTCCAAACGTCCAGGCTTGGTTCCGGCCCCGGCCGTCCTCCGAGAGTCTCTCCCCGGCGGGCAGGCGCTCTGGGCATTCGGCTCTCAGCTCCAAACGTCCAGGCTTGGTTCCGGCCCCGGCCGTCCTCCGAGAGTCTCTCCCCGGCGGGCAGGCGCTCTGGGCATTCGGCTCTCAGCTCCAAACGTCCAGGCTTGGTTCCGGCCCCGGCCGTCCTCCGAGAGTCTCTCCCCGGCGGGCAGGCGCTCTGGGCATTCGGCTCTCAGCTCCAAACGTCCAGGCTTGGTTCCGGCCCCGGCTGTCCTCCGAGAGTCTCTCCCCGGCGGGCAGGCGCTCTGGGCATTCGGCTCTCAGCTCCAAACGTCCAGGCTTGGTTCCGGCCCCGGCTGTCCTCCGAGAGTCTCTCCCCGGCGGGCAGGCGCTCTGGGCATTCGGCTCTCAGCTCCAAACGTCCAGGCTTGGTTCCGGCCCCGGCTGTCCTCCGAGAGTCTCTCCCCGGCGGGCAGGCGCTCTGGGCATTCGGCTCTCAGCTCCAAACGTCCAGGCTTGGTTCCGGCCCCGGCTGTCCTCCGAGAGTCTCTCCCCGGCGGGCAGGCGCTCTGGGCATTCGGCTCTCAGCTCCAAACGTCCAGGCTTGGTTCCGGCCCCGGCTGTCCTCCGAGAGTCTCTCCCCGGCGGGCAGGCGCTCTGGGCATTCGGCTCTCAGCTCCAAACGTCCAGGCTTGGTTCCGGCCCCGGCTGTCCTCCGAGAGTCTCTCCCCGGCGGGCAGGCGCTCTGGGCATTCGGCTCTCAGCTCCAAACGTCCAGGCTTGGTTCCGGCCCCGGCTGTCCTCCGAGAGTCTCTCCCCGGCGGGCAGGCGCTCTGGGCATTCGGCTCTCAGCTCCAAACGTCCAGGCTTGGTTCCGGCCCCGGCTGTCCTCCGAGAGTCTCTCCCTGGCGGGCAGGCGCTCTGGGCATTCGGCTCTCAGCTCCAAACGTCCAGGCTTGGTTCCGGCCCCGGCTGTCCTCCGAGAGTCTCTCCCCGGCGGGCAGGCGCTCTGGGCATTCGGCTCTCAGCTCCAAACGTCCAGGCTTGGTTCCGGCCCCGGCTGTCCTCCGAGAGTCTCTCCCCGGCGGGCAGGCGCTCTGGGCATTCGGCTCTCAGCTCCAAACGTCCAGGCTTGGTTCCGGCCCCGGCTGTCCTCCGAGAGTCTCTCCCCGGCGGGCAGGCGCTCTGGGCATTCGGCTCTCAGCTCCAAACGTCCAGGCTTGGTTCCGGCCCCGGCTGTCCTCCGAGAGTCTCTCCCCGGCGGGCAGGCGCTCTGGGCATTCGGCTCTCAGCTCCAAACGTCCAGGCTTGGTTCCGGCCCCGGCCGTCCTCCGAGAGTCTCTCCCCGGCGGGCAGGCGCTCTGGGCATTCGGCTCTCAGCTCCAAACGTCCAGGCTTGGTTCCGGCCCCGGCCGTCCTCCGAGAGTCTCTCCCCGGCGGGCAGGCGCTCTGGGCATTCGGCTCTCAGCTCCAAACGTCCAGGCTTGGTTCCGGCCCCGGCCGTCCTCCGAGAGTCTCTCCCCGGCGGGCAGGCGCTCTGGGCATTCGGCTCTCAGCTCCAAACGTCCAGGCTTGGTTCCGGCCCCGGCCGTCCTCCGAGAGTCTCTCCCCGGCGGGCAGGCGCTCTGGGCATTCGGCTCTCAGCTCCAAACGTCCAGGCTTGGTTCCGGCCCCGGCTGTCCTCCGAGAGTCTCTCCCCGGCGGGCAGGCGCTCTGGGCATTCGGCTCTCAGCTCCAAACGTCCAGGCTTGGTTCCGGCCCCGGCTGTCCTCCGAGAGTCTCTCCCCGGCGGGCAGGCGCTCTGGGCTCCTGCCCAGGACTGTTTGGCGTGGACTTCAAAGAGCAGAACAGCTGAGCATCTGGGGCTTCCCTGGTGTCCAGTGAACAAACGTCAAAGATCTGGCACTGAGGGGCCACCTGTCCCCATGTGTAGCAGATGGGAGTCAGACCATCAGCAGTCCCCTCTGCGTGTCAGGAAGGACTCGCAGAGGCTTTCTGGGACTCGGCTTGCTCCAAGCCTGGCTGTGCACCCAGCCTCCAGGAAGGGCTGTGCTGGGCCTCAGTGGCAGCATGGCTGGGCTGGCAGGACCTACTCAGTACCACCTTGGAGTCAGGCTGGCCTGGTCATTAATTCACTCCTTCCTGCCGCCACCAACATCCACTCAGCACTTCGGATACACCGGGGGCAGAGCTGAGGGGGAGACAAAGCAAAAGAAAACGGCAGGGATGCTGCGTTAGCAAGACGCAAGGAGGGGGCGCTCCGGCAGGCCTCTCGCAGGAGTGAGGCGGGGCAAGGATTTAAGGACCCACAGCTGCAACGGATCAGACATATGTTTCGGGGGAGAAAACTTAAAAGTACAGCGAGGATTCAGTAACTGAGGCTTAACGAAGAAGCCAAAGTCATCAGGACACAGAACTCACAACTATACTGCCCCTTCTAACATCAGTGCCCCCAGACACACCTGCCTGTTCACGGGCATCCGCCCCCACTCATGCCGCTGTCTTGGTTAGACAGCGCCTGGATAACCGTTACATGCCATAAATGCACCTGCTGTTTGAGGAGGTTATCTGTGCCTGTAATAATGTGATGCGAATCCACTGCAAGTGAAGCCACAGATGTTGTAAAAAGTTGCAGAATTTCGGCTGGGTGCAGTGGCTCATGCCTGTAATCCCAGCACTTTGGGAGGCTGAGGAGAGCAGATCACGAGGTCAAGAGATTGAGACCATCCTGGCCAACATGGTGAAACCCCGTCTCTACTAAAAATACAAAACTTAGCTGGGTGTGGTGACACGTGCCTGTAGTTCCAGCTACTCAGGAGGCTGAGGCAGGAGAACAGCCTGAACCTTGGAGGCAGAGGCTGCAGTGAGCAGAGATCACACCACTGCACTCCAGCCTGGTGACAGAGTGAGACTTCATGTCAAAAAAAAAAAAGTTGCAGAATTTCATGAAGTTGATGTGAGTGATGCTGTAACACTGCCTGGGTCTGATGCCGAGACATCAACAAATGGGGCTGGGTCTTGGCAGAGTGAACCCAGTTAACCAAAGAGGATAATAAGGGCATGTTGGCCATGTCAAAAGAGAGCAACTTGGGTAAAAAAGATCAGGAAAGCCATATAGGAAAAGTGACAGAGCCTTTGAATATTTGTGCACGAATAACTCCCTTTATCAACATGCTGTGGCGTTCAGATGTGAACAGTCTTCATGTGCTTTCACACGTTTATTTGTAAAATAACTCCAAAGAGAAAAAATTATTCTTTTTTTTATTTAAAAAAATTCTCAGCTGGGCATGGTGGCTCACGCCTGTAATCCCAGCACTTTGAGAGGCCGACGCAGGCGGATCACATTGGGTCAGGAGTTCAAGACCAGCCTGGGCAACATGGCAAAAACCCATCTCTACTAAAAATACAAAAATTAGCTGGGCGTGGTGGCACGTGCCTATAGTCCCAGCTACTTGGGAGGCTAAGGTGGGAGGATTGCTTGAACCTGGGAGGTGGAGGCTGCAGTGAGCTGAGATTGAGCCACTGCACTCCAGCCTGGGAGACGGAATGAGACTCTGTTCCCCCACCAAAAATACTTCTCCCAGAGTTATAGCTTAAATATTGTTAAATGTAAAATTAATTCATTTTTACAATTTTCGGTTTCTATTTTCAAGATTTAGTCCCAAGGAAACCTTTGTTCACTATTTATTATGAAATTAAAAGGCCTCTTTCAGGGACCCGTTGTTCTCATAGGAAAGGGATCCCCTAGGCACGTCTTGTGCTAACAACATGTCTCTCGTTAGGCTGTGAGTGCTCAGGGCAGGTCTTAGCGTTTTCTTCTTTGCATCCCAGCACCCAGACAGCCTGGCACTGACGAGCTGCCCCACCAGGCGCTGGTAAACACACGGGTGGAGAGACTGCATTCTGCGTCACTCCGGGATGACTGCTCAGCTCCAGCGTACAGCAGTGCCCTTGCAGGGTCCCTGTGCACGGGCAGAGGGCCCTGGGCTTGTGGGCTTCAGTTGCTGGGGCTGGAAGGGGCACCTGGTCCAAGGTCATGCACACGGATGCTGGCATCGAAATACATCCTGATCAGATGGCTCCTCACAAAGGAAAATCACTGACATGGAGTGTGGTGTTTCTGAGCAGGAGGTCAGCAGCCCCAGGACCTGCCTTCTGCTGCCCCTCCCTCCCTCACGTGCTGGGGAGCTGCAGCTGTGAGCAGCCAGCACAGAGAAGAGAGAGAGTCAGGAGTCAAAGGGAGGGCCCCTGGGAGGGAGAGGGAGGAAAAGTAAAGATAGACAGAGACGGAGGATCCTGCCAGCACTCACTAGCTGCTGGATCCAGCCATGGCTGAAGCTAGCCCAGTCCAACACTTTTACATTTTGGGAGCCAGCACCTTCTCCTTTTTGTTGAAGCCAGTCTCTCTTGTTTGTGACTGGGCCACCTTGTTGAGCCGATTGCTGGGAACATGGAAGGGAGCAGCTGACGGCAGGCTGTCAACACAAGGCCCACGCCCCTGCACGGGGGAAAGCACAGGAGACTCACCAAAAGCTCTGCAAACATGGGCTGTTTACCCAGTTTTAAAACAATCCTACTCAAGGGTTGTGGGGAGGGTAGCAAAACAAACAAGCAAGCCAAAACCAAAGATGGTTTTTAAAAACAGAGCATCAAAAGGAGGCTGACCAAAGGAGGGAGGGGAGTAAACATCTCTAACTAAAACCTCACTCGAGGAGATACTGAAGTATCCAGAGCGGCCAGGCTTCAGACTTGGTCTCCAGGGAAAAATGTACTGACATGATTGTTCTCTCAGTTAGAATAACGACGGCCGCATGGTTCTCATTCCCTTCGGCTCATCTGTCTCCGGATCCACCCGCGTCCATGCCTAGGGGCCTGGGGACAGGGTTCCTGGCACTGTGCTGGGGCACAGTGGAGTTGATCGATATTTGTTGGTTAAATGAATGAACCAGCAAGAACAGTCGGAGCCCAATTGGAACACCTCTATCTTTTAAATTTTTATTTTTAAATCTACATGGAATAGGCTGGGCGCTGTGGCTCACACCTGTAATCCCAGCACTTTGGGAGGCTGAGGCGGGTGGATCATGAGGTCAGGAGATCGAGACCATCCTGGCTAACACGGTGAAACCCTGTCCCTACTAAAAATACAAAAAAATTAGCCGGGCGTGGTGGCGGGCGCCTGTAGCCACAGCTACTGGGGAGGCTGAGGCAGGAGAATGGCGTGAACCTGGGAGGCGGAGCTTGCAGTGAGCCGAGATCGCGCCACTGCACTCCAGCCTGGGCGACAGAGCGAGACTCCGTCTCAAAAAAAAAAAAAAAAAAAAAAGTCTACATGGAATAAAATGCATTCTTTTTGGTGCACCGTTCTTTGTGTTTTGACAATCGAGACACAGAACAGCTCCGTCAGCCCCAAACTCCCTCGTCCTCTGTAGGAGGATCTGTTCTCTGTTTCTATAGTTTTCTAAAAATTGTGGTAAGATAGACATAACATAAAAGTTACCATTTTAACCATTTTTAAGTGTACAATTCAATGACATTAAGTACATTCACAACGGTGTGCAACCATCACCACCATCCATCTCCAGAACTTTTTTTTTTTTTGAGATGGAGTCTTGCTCTATCGCCCAGGCTGGAGCACAATCTCAGCTCACTCCAACCTCTACCTCATGTGTTCAAGTGATTCTCCTGCCTCAGCCTTCCAAGTACCTGGGATTACAGGCACCTGCCACTACGCCCGGCTAATTTTTGTATTTTTAGTAGAGACAGGGTTTCACCATATTAGCCAGGTTGGTCTCGAACTCCTGACATCAGGTGATCCACTGGCCTCGGCCTCCCAAAGTGCTGGGATTACAGGCATGAGCCACCGTGCCCGGCTATCTCCAGAACTTTTAAATCATCCCAAACAAAAACTCTGTACCCATGAAACACTAACTCTCCATTTCCCATTTCCCCCAGTGCCTGGTAACCTCCACTCTACTTTCTGTCTCTATGAATTTGTTTATTCTAGGTACCTCACATCAGTGAAATCAATCAATATCATCCAACTCCTTTTGGGTCTGGCATATTTCACTTAGCATAATGTCCTCAAGATTCGTCCACTTTGTAACATGTGTCAGCATTCCCTTCCTTTTAAGGCTGAGCAAATACTCCATCGTATGGATGGATCACAGTTGGTTTATCCATTCATCCATTGATGGACATTGGGTCATTTGTATCCTCTGGCTATTGTGAATAGTGCGGCTATGAACACTGGGGTACGAGCATCTGTTTGAGTCCCTGCTTTCAGGGATCATCCCTGTAGTTCTGCCTCATAAGAATGTCATAGAAATGAAGCATAAAGCATGTAGTATGATTTCTATTTTTGAGTCTGGCTTCCTTATCTTGGCATAGCGCATTTGAGATCCACCCATGTGGTGTGTGTCAATAGTCTGTTCCTGTTTATTGCTGCATAGTATTCCACTGCACAAATGTACCACAGTTTCTTTACCCATTCTCCATTTGAGGGATATTTGGGTTATTTCCAATTTGGGTAATTATGAATAATGCCGCTATAAACATTTGCATACAGGTTTTTGTGTGAACATAGCTTTCTTTTAGGTAAATTGCAGAGTCATAGAAGTAGATGTTTAACTTGATAAGATACACTACCCAACTGTCTTCCAAAGTGCCTATGCCATTTGACATCCCCCTAGCAGTATATGAGAGCTCTGGTTGCTCTGCAATCTCACCAACACTTGGTATTGCTAATTGCCTTTGTCTTTTTTTCTTTTGAGATGGAGTCTCGCTCTTGTTGCCCAGGCTGGAGTGCAATGGCGCAATCTCGGCTCACTGCAACCTCCACCTCCCAGGTTCAAGTGATTCTCCTGCCTCAGCCTCCCAAGTAGCTGGGATTACAGGCGCCTGCCACCACGCTCGGCTAATTTTTGTATTTTTAGTAGAGATGGGGTTTCATGATGTTGGCCAGGCTGGTCTCAAACTCCTGACCTCAGGTGATCCGCCCACCTCAGCCTACCAAAGTGCTGGAATTACAGGTGTGAGCCACCGCGCCCAGCTGCCTTTGTCTTTTAACCCATAAAGTATCCATTAGTTGTCAGATCTAAATAATAGAATAATGATAGCAATAAGAAGTGAGTGAATGAGTGAACTGGCTGGGCGTGGTGGCTCACATCTATAGTCCTAGCTCCTAGGGAGGCTGAGGTGGGAGAATTGCTTGAGGCCGGGAGTTGGAGGCCAGCCTGGACAATGTGGTGAGACCCTGTCTCTAAAAACAGAGACACAGAAAAACATATTTGGAGCCAAAAAAAGTAGCTCTCACGAAGACAGAGAGTAGACTGGTGGCTCCCAGAGTCTAGGAAGCAGGAATGGGATGAGGAGAGGTTGATTAATGGGCACAAAGAGACAGTTAGAATAAATAAGATCTAGTATTTAATAGATCAGTAGAGTGACTATAGTTAACAATAACCAATTGCACATTTCAAAATAGCTAGAAAAGAATTATTTAAATGTTTCTAGCAAAAAGAAAAGATAACATTTAAGGCAACTGGCTGTGTGTGGTGGCGCATGCCTGTAGTCGCAGCTACTTGGGAGGCTGAGGCAGGAGGATCACTTGAACCCAGGAGTTCAAATACGGCCTGGGACATAGCAAAATCCTGTCTCTTAAAAAAAGAAAGAAAAAACATATATATTTAAGGTGATGGATAAACCCTGATTTGCTCTTTACACATTATATGAACGTATCAAAATATCACGTTTCCTCCAAATATGTACATCTGTTATGTATCAATTTGAAAAATTCAGAAATAGAATTAAAAATCCAAAAAAGGAGAAATGTTCCATGAATTCTGAGCACACACAAAAACGTGAGTGAATGAATGAAAATACTATTTACTCAAAAAATTAGCCAGGCGTGGCAGTGTGCACCCACAGTCCCAGCTACTCAGGAGGCTGAGGCAGGAGAATTTGCTTGAACCCAGGAGGTGGAGGTTGAAGTGAGCTGAGGTCGTGCCACGGCACTCCAGCCTGGGCAACAGAGAGAGACTCCATCTCAAAAAAAAAAAAAATAAATAAATAAAAAATAAATACCATTTACCGAAATCTTCTACAAGTCAGACACATATCAAACTGTTACTGCACGCCAGATGTGGTATATACAGTTTACAGTGTTTTATCTCATTTAATCCTTACATTAGCCCCAATTTACTGAGGACAAGACTTAGACACAGTGGAGGAATAACCTGCCCAAGGTCATGCACCCAGCAACGGCTGAGCCAGACCTGACCCAGGAGTTCTGGATCCAACACACCTCATGCCTCCCTCAATATGGCGCTAAAATGCTACTTGCCCTTCCTTCCCTTGGAGAGTTTCAAACGCGTTATCTCCATTATTGCAACAGCCCCTTGAAGGTGGGATTGTTCTTCCTATTTCATCGATGGTGTCCACTCAGCCAGTGAGACGCAGAGGCCCCGGTGCCTGGCCCACCTGTCCTGAGCCCCAGCCTCCACCATATGCCAGGGCTCACAATGTGTAACGCCACTTCCAGGCAAAAGGCCTAAGAATGAAATAAAGGCCAAGATCTTCAGGTACCTTTCAGAGCCCCAAGTGGTCCTTATAGTTCCTGGCTGAGATGCCTCACAAATGTGTAACCATTGTTTGAAGCCGCTTCCCTGTGCACCAACTGTGCCCAACACCTGCAACGCTTTCCAAGAAAGACAATGTGAGGCCAAAGGAAAGAAAAGAACAAATGCTTTTACGCAAACACCTTGATTGAAGTGTTGATCTGAAGGCGCTTGTGAGCCTTTTGGGGTGGCCCAGAAGGGCAGACCTGTGAGGCCCCCATCATGGCCTCGAAGCCACAGGCTTGTCCAGCTTCTCGTAACAAAAGCCTCAAAAGAATGACGGATTTTTCTAAAGAGAAGTTCAAAGGATCTTTTCTGGCCTTTGGTGAGATTCCCGGGAACAGAGAGGCAAGGAAGACAGGCAGATGGGGTCTCCTGCACCCCATGTCTCCCCATGGCCCTGCACACACCCTGCCTCCATTCATGTAGTGAACAGTCAGAACCGGAAGACGGCAGCCATTCGCGGAGCGCCTACTGTGTGCAGGCAGCATCTGCCTCCAGTTCCGGCGTTCTCTCTTCAGATCCCCTTGTGGGGTACCATGCCCATCACAAGGAGTGGCCACACCTTAGTAATGTGCTCAATCGCAATCACTGCCACCATCATTCATTCATTTAACAATGAAGGACCACAGTCCAATAGAAGACACAGGTGTGGATGCAGCAAGGAGAGGCAGGCACCAGGTTTTCAGCAACACCAGGAGGGAGAAACCAGTGCTGCTGGGCAGGGCACACTTCATGCAGGAGGAGATTCTTGAGCTGTGTCCTTTGAGGAGTTTGCCAGGAAGAAAAGGGCACTCCAGGCAGAAAGAACAACACAGACAAAGGCACCAAGGCATGAAATTGAAATAACATGAAAATTTGAGGGAAATACAGCTGATTCCTTATGGTGAACCTGGCCCAGCCCCTCCATTGGTCCCTGGGACCTTGATCCCTGCCGCACATAGTGGCCACTCAATAAATCTATGCTGCTGGCCAGAGACCAATGGTCCTGCAAGGGGCACGAAGACCATGTGTGATAACCAGACCCCTCATGTCCTCCGTCCCCTCAGAGATGCAGAGGCTCACGTGATATTGAGGATGGAGGCCTTGAGGGTTGACAGAGACCTGGGCCCACACCTCTTGGCATTCCCTGGGGTGTGCGAGCTGCAACTCTCCCTTTCCCTGTCTCACTCCCTCTCCCAGTCAGGAAGACAAACCTAGGACCAGCACACCAGGACAAGAATGAGCTCACTATGCAGCTAACCTTGATTTTGCTTTAACTTATAATAGAAAAGGAAGTCATCTACAAACCCTGGTGTTTTTGCTATTGTGGATAACACATAACCAATGACATCCCCATACCAGGTGCCCCTGCCGCCATGATCCCTCCTCAGGCTTGGCCAGGTGACCCCCTAAGCATCCCTTGGAGCCCATCTCTACCTCCCGCATTCGCACCACAGGCCACAAACACTGGCAGCCCAAGGGCCAGATGGGCTTGCATGCCCGCAGCGTGTCTGGTTCTGTGTTTGCTCTGGGAAGTGATGGATAAACCACAGCCCGGCTCTGAGGCCACCTCCACCCTGACGTTTCTGCCTTGGTTTTGTGAGTCAGTAAGTTCTCTTTTGCTTCAGCTAGTTTAAGTTGTTACATGTTTCAACACTTCTGATTAATATAGCTCTGTCCTCGTTTACATTGTTCTTCAAACAAACTATGATTCAATTTTTGTATTTTCTTTCTGACCCAATAGTTTTAGGAGATTGTAAATCTCCAGATGGCAAGGTTTTTGTATGCTTAAACACTTTCATTATTAATGCCTCATTTATTACACTGTGATAAGAGGGAGAATTGAAAGAGGTGACTCCTTTCCTTTGCATTGTTAAAAAAAGTATCACATACCCAAATGTGACATGCAATCGCACCTACTGTTGAAACTCTGAAAGCATCCCCATTAAAGTCAGGAACAACATGAGGATGCACGACGACCACCACTACTGAACAGTTCTCCAGAAGGCCAAGAGAAAGGAAAGAAAGAGGATGAAAAATACAATTACTTACACATTGTATGATTTGATACTGCAAATCCATGAGAACAAACTAAAAACCACTAGGAGTAATGGAAGAATATAGTAAAGAGAATAGATGAATATTTAATATTCAAAAACTAGGCTGGGCGCAGTGGCTCATGCCTGTAATCCCAGCACTTTGGGAGGTCAAGGCGGGTGGATCACTTGAGGTCAGGAGTTAGAGATCAGCCTGGACAACACAGTGAAACCTCATCTCTACTGAAAATACAACAATTAGCCAGGCATGGTGGCATGCAACTGTAGTCCCAGCTACTTGGGAGGCTGAGGCAGGAGAATCCCTTGAACCTGGGAGGCGGAGGCTGCAGTGAGCTGAGATTGCGCCACTGCACTCCAGCCTGGGCAACAGAGTGAGACTCTGTCTCAAAATAAACAAACCAACAAACAAAAACTAATGGCATTCTCATGTACAAATAATAACCAGTTAGAAGGTATAGTGGAGAAGTGTCCCATTTTTAATAACTAAAAGAACAAGATAAAAAAAAACCTAAGAGTAAATTCAATAAGAAATCAAAAGATGTATATGAAGGAAGCTTAAAATAACTCTCCTGAGGGATACTGAGAAGGCAAACACAGTGGAAGACATGCTAGTTCTTGGAGAAGTAGAGACATGTTCAGCATTGAAAAGATGCTCATGTTCCTTATATTAATCTCCAAAATTGATGACATACCAATAACCATACCTACACTCTTTTTTTTTTTTTTTTCTTGAGACGGAGTCTCGCTCTGTCATCCAGGCTGGAGTGAAATGGCGACATCTCGGCTCACTGCAATCTCCGCCTCCTGGATTCAAGCGATTCTCTTGCCTCAGCCTCCCGAGTAGCTGGGATTACAGGCACGCGCCACCATGCCTGACTAATTTTTGTATTTTTAGTAGAGACAGGATTTCACCATGTTGGTCAGGCTAGTCTTGAACTCCTGACCTTGTGATCTGCCCGCCTCAGCCTCCCAAAGTGCTGGGATTACAGGCATGAGTCACCGCGCCTGGCTACCTACACTCTTTATTTGAAAACTTAAAATAATATTGGGATTCACGTGGAGAAAACACATATGATAGCTTTGATAACTTTGAAAAATTAGTGTAATGAGTAAAGACTAGCCAGATTAAGAATTTAAAATGTTATAAAGCTACAATAATTAAAACAACTTGGCAAAAAGATACAGTAGACATACTTTCCCTACTCCTCTTGCTAAGTACAGCTAAAACCCCTAGACATTATATATACATATGAAGAAGACCCTGAAAGATGGAGAGAAACAGATCAGCTAGGCAACCTGGGGCCTGAGAAAGGACAGAGAGGTGAATTTACTTGTTTGTTTCGGTCTCATATATGCAGAACTGGGTGCTAAATAAGTTGGTAACTCAGAAACACCCACAGTGTCAGTGGAAGCCCCATGGGGAGCAGTAATGAGGCACTCCTGCCCCACCCAGCAAGGGTGGCATCAGTGGAGGCCTAGTGGGGAGGTGGAACTCTCATCCCTTCCCAATAGTAACAAGGAGCCCCTCACCACCTTAAGTGTCAATGGAAGCTCAGTTGAAAAGTTGGACTTTCACCCTCCACCTGAAAGTAATGAAGTGGTGCTCCCTCCCCCTTTATCATCAGCATGGTGTCGGAGGGGGCCAGCTGAAGCACAAGATTTAACAAAATCCAGAGTCTCATAGCACAATACACAAAATGTCCAGGGTTTAATAAAAGATCATGCATCATACCAAGAACCAGGCAAACCTCAACTCCAATGGGAAAAGACAATCAACAGATATGAACACTGATGTGACAGAAATGTTGGACTATCTGGCACAGACTCGAAAACAGCCATTATAAAAATGCTTCAGTGAGCAATTATGAACACACCTGAAACAAATGAAAAAACAGAAAGTCTCAGCAAAGAAACAAGATATGAAGAGGAACCAACTGGAAATGTTAGAAGTGAAAAACACAAGAAATGACATGAAAATTTCAATGGAGGGCTCAACAGGAGAATGAAGAGGACAGTGGAATCAGTGAGCTTGAAGGCAGAACCAATAGAAATTATCCAAACTGAACAAACAGAGAGAAAATAGACTAGGGAAAAAAAAGGAACAGAGCCGCAGGGACCTGTGGGACTAAAACAAAAGATCTGACATTAGTGTCAGCAAGAGTCCCAAGAGGAGAGGAGAAATGGAGTGAGACTAAAAAAGTATTCAAATAAATAATGGCTGGGGAATTTCCAGATGTGCCCAAAGACCTGGGCCTACCAATTTAAGATGCTGAGCAAACATCCAACAGGAAAGAAACCGAAGATTTCTACACCAAGAAATATCACAGTCAACTTCTGAAAACTCAAGGCAAATAAAAATATTTCAGAGAGAAATGACACCTCACTTACTGGAGAAAAGCAATTAAAGTGACAGTGGATTTCTTCTCAGAAACCACGGAGGCCAGAAGGAAGTGGCAAACATTTTTTCAAGTGCTCAAAGAAAACACAAAATTCTACATCTAGTGAAAATATCCTTCAGGAATAAAGGGGAAATTAAGACATTTTCAGGTGAGGTTAAATTAAGACAAGTTGTCACCAGCAGACCTACCCTAAAAGAATGCCTAAAGCAAATTCAAAACTGGAAGGAAATAATTAAAGAAGGAATATTGGAACATCAGGGAGGGAGAAAGAACACAGTAAGCAAAAATATGGGTAAATATAATAGGTCTTCTTTTACAGAGTTTTCTAAATTACATTTGATGGTTGAAGCAAAAATTAGAACACCGTCTAGTGTGGTTCTCAATATATGTACAGAAAACATTTAAGATAATTATGTAACAAATGGGGGAGTGTAAAGGAATGTAATGGGAGGAAAGGTTTCTACACTTCAATTAAACTGGTATAGTCACCCTGAAAAATAGTTTGGGAGTTTCTTAAAAAAACCCCAAAAAACAAAAAACTAAATATACACTTATCAGGCCAGGCGCGGTGGCTCACGACTGTAATCCCAGCACTTTGGGAGGCGGAGGCAGGCAGATCACCTGAGGTAAGGAGTTCGAGACCAGCTTGACCAACATGGAGAAACCCCGTCTCTATTAAAAATACAAAAATTAGCTGGGTGTGGTGGCAGGAGCCTGTAATCCCAGATACTTGGGAGGTTGAGGCAGGAGAATCACTTGAACTTGGGAGTCAGAGGTTGCAGTGAGCCAAGACCGTGCCACTGCACTCCAGCCTGGGCGACAAGAGCGAAACTCTGTCTCAAAAAAAAAAAAAAAAAAATACACACACACACACACACACACACACACACACACACACACACACACATCATGTGGCTGAACAATTGCACTCCTAGGTATTTATCTCAGAGATAGGAAATTTTTATGTCCACACAAAAACCTGTACATGGATGCTCATAATATTTGTATTTGGGTTATGTGTAGTAGCCCCAAATTGGAAACAACCAAAATATCCAACAATAAGTAGGTGACTAAGCCAACTGTGGTATAACCGCACCATAAAATACTACTCAGCAATAAAAATGAATGAACTATTGATACATCCAACTTGGGTGGATCTCAAGGGCATCATGCTGAGTGAGAAAAGCCAGTCTTCGAATGCCACACATGGTATAATTCCAGTTCTAAAACATTCTTAAAATGACAAATGTAAAGCTTTCTTAAAATGACAGATTGGTGATTGCCAGAGGTTAAGAGTGGTGAGAGGTTGGAGATGTTAGGAACATTGTCATGGTATGATAGTGCTGTATAGTGACTGTGGTGGTATTTACACTAGTGTGTGTGTGTGTGATAAAATGGCACACTGCAACAATGTCAATTTCCTGGTTTTGATAGTGTACCAGAGTTACATCAGATGCAACTATTGAGGAACACTGGCTGAAGAGTACAAGGGACTTCTCTGTACTATTTTTGAAACATTCTGTGAATCCATAGTTATTTGAAAATGAAAGGTAAAATTTTAAAAAGCCATTTGGCAGTGAAGAATAAATTGACAATATAATCACAAAGTATGTAGAACTCAGAAATGGATCCAAATACAGTTGAGAAATTAGAATGGCATAAAGATGGCATTTCGATCAGTGCTAAAGGATAGATTGTTCAGAACAGATAAAATTGGATGCCTACCTCAGTCATTTTACCAAAATACATTCCAAATTTATCAATGATATAAATGTAAATATAAAATAAATAAAATTGTAAGAATGAGACCTTCATGAATTTATTTACATTAGATTGAGGAGCGCTTTCTAGGAGGATATAAAAATCTGGATTTCATGAAAGAAAATACTGACACATTTGACTATTTAAAAACAAAAAACAAAAACCATCATAAACAGGGTCATGCAACTAACATCAAATTGAGACAAACAGTTTTACCATCTATGATGAAAGGTTAGTTTCTACATTAGAAATGCTTACATAATACAGTATGAAAACAGAAGTTATTAGAATATAGGACGAAGGATATGAATAGGCAATTTACATAGAGCAAAATGAGAATAAATTTGTGAAAAATATCCAACCTCACATTTTGTGTTTATGAATAGGAATACTTAATATTGTTAAGATGGCATCACTTCCCAAAGCAATCTACAGATTCAATGCACTTCCTATCAAAACTCCAGCCACCTTTTCTGCAAAAATGGAGAAGCCAATCCTCAAATTCATACGGAATAGCAAGAGGGCTTGAATAGCCAAAATAATCTTGAAAAAGAAGAACAAAGTTGGAAGACTCACACTTAACCAATTTTTAAACTTACTACAAAGCTATGGTAATCAAAACAGTGGGGCATTGGCATAAGGATAGATATAGACCAATGGATAAATTGAGAATTGAGAGTCAAACTCAATATCTACATGCCAAAGAATCAAACTGAACCTCTACCTCACACCAAATACAAAAATTAATGCGAAACAGTGGCTTAAATATAACATCTGTAACTACAAAATTCTTAGAAGAAAACACAGATAAATCTTCATGACAATGGACTTAGAAGTGGATTCTTAGATATGACACCCAAAATACATGCAACGAAAGAAAAACCTTCATCAAAATGCAGTACAATTTCATCAAAACTTTTGTGTGTTAAAGGACATTATCAAAAAAGTAATACTACACCATACAGAATGCAAGAATACATTTTCAAATCATATATCTGACAATACTAATAGTAATTCAGAACATATCTAGAATATATAATCAAATTAAAAAACGCTTACAACTCAACAATAAAAATACAAACAACCCTATTCAAAAATAAGCAAAGGACTTGAATCGACATTTTGCTGAAGAAGATACACAAACAGCCAACAAGGATATGAAAAGATGCTCAACACTATTAATCATGCAACACACAAATCTAAACCACAGTGGAATACCACTTCACACCCACTAGGAAGGTTAAACCAACAACAATAACAACCCAGAAAATAACAAGTGTTGATGAGGATGTGGAAAAATTGGAACCTTTGTACACTGCTGGTAGGAATGTAAAATTGTTCGGCTCCTGTGAAAATGTTTGGTGGTTCCTCAAAATCTTAAACAGATAATTACCATATGACCCAGCAAATTCACTCCCTGTTATATACCCCAAAGAAGTGAAAACAGGAACTCAAATACATACATGTACGTTTACAACAACACTAATCACAATAGCCAAAGGTGAAAACAACCCAAATGCCCATCAAAAGATGAATAGGTAAACAAACTGTGATACACACATGGAATGAAATTATTATTTATCCATAAAAGGAAATGAAGTACTGATACATATTACAATGTGGATGAACTGAAAAAAATATGCTAAATAAAGTAATCCAGACAAAAGGTGTTGTATAACTTACATGAAATATACAGAATATATAAAGCCATAGAGACAGAAAGCAGACTGGTGGTTCCCAGGAGCTGGGAGGAGGGGGAAATGGGGGATGAATGACTGCTCAATGGGTATAGGTTCTTTTGCGGTGATGAAAGTGTTCTGCAGCTGGATAAAGGTGGTGGTTGCACAACGCTGTGAATTTATTAAATGCTACTGAGTTGTTCACTTAATTTTGTGCTATATGAATTTCACCTCAATATTCAACCTCATACATAATTAAAGTCATTAAAATCCAAGCAAGATACTATTTTTGCCTATAGCATTGGTAGAACATTTAAAGTTTAACAATACTCTGTGCTGATGAAGATGTGTGGAAATAGAAACTTGTGTGTAATGTTACTGAGAGAATAAGTCGGCATCATTTTAAGGGCAATGTGGCAAAACTATCAGCAATTTAAGGGAAAGTTTTCATCTTTGACTAGGCAAGTCCATTGACAGAGTTTTTCCTTATAAACACACTCATGAATGTACGTGTAACTGTAACATTGTATATAATGGTAAAAATGGAAGCAGCGTAAGTATCGATCAATTGAGGAGTGGTTGAAATAAATCATGGTACATTCACACAATGGAATACTATTCTAAAAAGAATGAGAAAGATCTGCATGTGACAATGTGATCTCTATGATATATTATTCTTTGAAAATATAAGGTATGAGTAGTGTGACCTCATTTGTGTGAGTTTGTGGAGCATGGATACATTTTTTTTCTGTAAGGATATATAATAATCTGTTAATTGTGGCTACTTTCCTCAAAAAGAACTAGAGGTAAAGGAAGGGAAAGAAAACCCAGTTTTCATTTTACATTTTTCCATCCTGGCTAATTTTCTTCTTACCACTAAATATAAACAAATTTACAGTTCTCCAATTCCCAAAGTCAAGAAGAAAATAACTTCTAAAGTCTGTTCTACACACAATGATTTTGGAATTCTGTATATCTTTCTTTACTTCTCTACCCCTTCCTTAATTTTCCAGTCTTTATTAATGTAATCTGGGATTACAGAGATCATATTTTTGCACAGTTCTTTATTTTTTGGTGAAGCATAATATACATAAAAGTGCACGTATCACAAGTGATATGACATTTTTAACATTTTACTCTTTTTTTGAAAAATAATTTTTGGATTTGATTTTGTGACTATAATTTTAAATTTTCAGTGTCTCAATATATTTCATTGATTTTGGTGCTCACATAGACTTTCCTCTCTGGATTCTGATTTTGATTCCTTTTTTCCTTGACTGATTACATATGCTAAGCAGTTTTCTCAGAAATGCTAAGTAATATAGAGCCTGAGACACTGTACATCATCTGGAAATGTTGTTTCCAGTCTTCACCCAAGAATGACAGCACAGCCATATATGGAATTGTTGAGTACAACTTTTTCTATTCCAATTCTGAGCCTGGGCAACATAGCAAGACCCATTTCTACAAAAAAAAAAATAGCTGGGCATACTGGTGTCTGCCTGTAGTCTCAGCTACTTGGGAGGCTGAGGCAGGAGGATCACTTTAGCCCAAAAGTTCAAAGTTACAGAGAGCTATGACTGTCATAGCATTCCAGCCTGGACACAGAGCAAGACCCATCTCAACAACAAAACAAAACAAATTCTGTAGGCACAGTTCCACTGTCTTCTGATGCTTAGAACCATGGAGAAATTTGAGGCTATTTTGCTTTTGGATAATTTGCAGATATTGGTCACATGACTGTTTATGGTAGATTTTTTCCCCCTTGAATGCTTGTAGAATAGATTTTTACCCTTTAAATTAAAATAACTTGCTACATGAAATCCAGGTGGCGTTTTCCAATTTACCTTGAATTCAACGAGTCCTTTGATAGAAAGACAGAACTTTCTCAGTAAACTTTTCTTATATCATATGTTCAATTATCCTCAAGATTCTTTCCCATTTATTCTACTTCAGTGCTTGGAATTGTGCCAGGCACTGAGAATGCAGGAGTTCATAAGACATGGTTTCTGATCTCACCAAACTTTAGTTCAATGGGAAAGACAGACAGCTGATCAAGTAATTACAATGAAGAGTGATGACAGTTACAAGAGAGAAGTTCCAGATGAGATGGATCACAGGCTGCATGATTGCTCTTAGCTTGGGGTAACTGGGAAGGTCTCATTAGCCTATGTGGGGATGGGGAATTGGACAAGGTTAGCAGAGGGTTCCAGGCAAAGGAAACAGCATTTATTAAGAAGTTGGGAATGCCTGAATCTTAGGGGAAGTGCGGTATTGTTGTAAAAGCTAAGTATTATTATTTGGGGAGGTGGGTGGGTGTCAGTTTCCTCTTTTGTCTATCCAATGTCTGTTTCCATCTGCAGATAAGGTCTTGGGAGCTCCTTAGATCTGAGCCCAATCTGCTTGCATTTTTGACAGCTTCTCTGTGCCCCAAGCATGAAGTCCAAGCTGATGTAACCAGCCTGCAGCTGGGGCTAGGACAGCAAGAGGGCACATAATTCATGCTGCTGTGTGCTCCGGTCCTGCAGTGGGAAGACTCCCAGCTTTACAGAGGGAGCTGAGAAGGGGGACCCTGGCCCTCTGCTGTCACGCTCTCCTCTGTTGATCTCATGTGGGGAAACAACTCCGCCCTGTGCTGGGCCAGCATCAGCAACAGCATCAGGTGACTTTGTTATTCCCACAGCAACAGCAGTGCTGTAAATGAGTATCTACCACCTGCTGGCAGATGATTTATCTACTTGATTGCAAGCTCTCAGAGGGCAGGAATTGTATGTACCTTATGTCACCACCACCACCTGGCAGAGGGTCTGGGAGAGTGCCGTGGCTCTGGCATTAACTACAAATATCCTTTTTTTAAAAAAAAAAAAAGGACTTGTTTTCCCTCCCATTTACCACTTCTCCAAAGGCAGGTAAATGTGTAAAAAAAGGCAACCAGGGCCGGTGTGGTGGCTCACGCCTGTGATCCCAGCACTGTGGGAGGCCGAGGTGGGCAGATCAAC
The DNA here is from genome assembly GCF_000001405.40 of Homo sapiens. Lineage (NCBI taxonomy): Eukaryota > Metazoa > Chordata > Mammalia > Primates > Hominidae > Homo > Homo sapiens. The sequence continues at coordinate 178,414,555 of NC_000005.10, forward strand.
TGAGGTCAGGAGTTCGAGACCAGCCTGGCCAACAGGGTGAAACCCCGTCTCTACTAAAAATACAAAAATTAGCTGGGCATGGTAGTGTGTGCCTGTAATCCCAGCCTCTTGGGAGGCTGAGTCAGGAGAATCACTTGAACCCGGGAGGCGGAGGTTGCAGTGAGCTGAGATGACACTACTACACTCCAGCATGAGTGACAGAGTGAGACTCCAACTAAATAAAAAAAGGCAACCAGGAAAGCAAGTAGTCCCTGGGACTGCTTCTCAGAAACCCAACCCAGCTAAGGCAGCCACATCCCACAGCCCTGCTTGAAGGCAAAGCAAGACCATCGAGCCCACCTAGGTAGGTGATGACGTGTGGAGGTGTGGGTAGGGGTGGGGAGTGGGAGGAGGTAACAAGGGGGTATGAAGTGGAGTGGGGTGAAAGGAGAGCCAGAAATGGCACCCAAAATGCAGCTGCTGCTGACCTGCCTCTCTGCTTCCACAATAAGATGAGGGCAGGTTTTTAAACAGTTTGTGCCTCAGTTTCTCAGCACGAAACCCGGAATATGTGAGTGCTGGTTCTCTCTGCCCCAGTGAGCTGGGCTGCTTGGATTCAGCCTCTGACTCTCCCAGGAAGGAGCTCCAGTCAAGGATCCTGGCATCTTGCTTGGTGCAATGACACACTCTTTTCTCCAGTGGGGTCCACATGGTGCCAGTTACAGTGCTCAGTGGGGACGAGCCCGCCTTGCTGGGTGAGTGACGTGGGTCTGTGCCACAGTGGGAGTGCTGCAGACACTGAGCCACCAGGCTGAGTAAACACTGTGCTCCAAATCAGTCGAACGTCTAAAAACCGTCCTGCCCCCCACCCTCAGTGCACAGGCTGTGGCCTCTTTCTCCCCGGGCCCGGGCCCTGGAGCACGGCTCACCCTGCTGCCTCTCTGCACAGGCTTGCTGCTGCCAGCCGGCCTCCACGAACACTTCTACTGTCTCCTGACCTCTCCACAGCCAGAGGACACGAGGGACGCCCCTTGCAGATACTTCCAATGTGCTGACTGCTGGCACCAGAGGACAGTGCTGCCCCCATCCCGCCCTGGCTCCATGAGGGCAAGGGGACTGTGCGGGCGGCGGTGAGGTGGGCAGTCAGCAGACTGTCCCACGCCACATCTGTGCCCGAGCCCTGCTGCACAAGGGGATGCAGAAGAGTGAGCACGAGGTTCTTGCCCACAGAGAGCTCCCAGCCTAGCGGGAGGTAGACAGGCAAACAAGAAAGACTGAAAACTCCTCGAGGGCACAACTGCAGACATCAGGGGCAGGATAAGGGAGAGGAGGTACTGGGTGAGGCCAGGGAGGGCTTCCGAGGGAGGTGATTCCAGGGCTGGATGGGACCAGAGAGAGCTTTCAGGAGGTGAAGTCAGAGCTGGGCCCTGAAGGATGGGACCAGGGAGGGCGGACGAAGCTGGGGCAGAGCCAGAGATCCAGAAACAGTAGGCCAAGTCATGAGAGTCCCAAACATCAGCTGCCCCAGTGCCATTCTCACTGAGTCTAAACCCTCCCATTCATTCATTCATTCATTCATTCGCTCGTTGACTACATACTGGTGACCTACTGTTGCCAGGGACCCAATATAGACAAGAGATGAGCATCCAGGTTGTTGTACATCTGGATTGCTTACATAATGTGTAAAACATGATGACCAACTAGTTGCCAGGGACCCAATATAGACAAGAGATGAGCATCCGGGTTGTTGAGAGGTTCAGTCTTAGAGATGCGCAAAGAGACAGCCCTGCAGCTGGCCTGCCTCCCTCAGGAGGCTCCCCGGGCCTCCATCGTGGCTGACCGGAGCTCGGCACCTGTCTTCTCCTTGGTGCCTGGATCAGCTTGGCCTTGGGGAAAACCCCGAGGGAGGCAGTGCTGCTGGTCTGGCTGCTGGGAGTGAGCCCGGAGGGGTGGGGCCCAGGAGGAGATGTAGTTGGACCAGGATGATACGGAGGGGTTAGAGGGAGATGGGTGGCTTCCACAGGTATTCAGCAGACAGGATTAACCATACCCATGCCTATTTTAAAATCATTTGTATGTGCTGAGTGCTTTGTGAACATTATCTCACTTAATCGTTTCAAGCCGGTAGTAGTATCCTTCCCATTTCACAGATGAGGAAACTGAGGTTCAGAGATTAAATAACTTGTCCAAGGTCACACAGTTAAGTAGGTAACTGATGAGATCTGGAGTGGGAGTTGCTAAGGATGACCCCGGAATCTAGTTTAAGCACACAGCCCCCAGGGCAGGGGCTGCATTCTCAGATGGAGAGCATAGCAGGGAGGAGCTGAGGGTGAGGGCAGGCTGTCAACACACAGGATGATGGCAAAGCCTCCGGTTCAGGCCCATCACAACCTGACCACAGCCCGAGATCTGGCCTCCTCTCCTCTCTCAGCCCTCCCCAGGTATAATTCTTTCCCAGGAGACCTGGAGCTTCCTGAGACTTAGGGGCCTTGTGCAGTTCAGCATGAGCATAGGACCTGCCACCAAATAGTGCTTGTTGAATGAATCACGATCTGATTCACTCAGCACTGTCAGCAGTGTCAGCAGCGTTTGGTCCTGAAAGGAGGCTTGTGCTTACTGGAATGCTGGGCGAGGCGGTGCCAGTCTTTCCCAACGGATGGCTCTTCTGGATGTACATACAACACATACAACACACATGCATCTGTTCAACAGAAGGATGTAAACAGACACACTCACACAAAACATACACAGACATGCACACATGTGTGCACACACATGCCAATCTAAGCTCAGAGGCTTGACCCTGCTGATTACTGCCTTCAGACTGACGCCAAGAAGTCCTGCCTTCCTCGCTACGTGTACCTCGCCAGTATTTTTACAGGTAAAGAATCTGACCTCTTTCTAGTAGCAGAGCTGTGCTTCCGATCACTGCCCAAAGGGGGAAATCACGCCCGCAACATTCTGGATTCTCCCTCTGGGAGAAAACCACAGCCCTGCCTCCCCATTCCATCCCCCATTCCCCCAGCGAGATATCATTATACAGCAGAAAACCACAGGATCCATATCAGACGGAAATCCAACCCTCAACGATAAAGCGACATTTGAAAGAATGCTCAAGAACAGCCCCGTCTGATTAGACGGGGAATACTCATTTCTACAGGGAGTTATGCCTCCCTCACCTTGCTGCCCGCTTCATCCAGGCCAAGGAGACGGAGTTCATTAGCAGAACACATGTGGCTTGTCTCCACCATTAGGATAAAGATCACAAAATACCCGCAGAAACGAGGACGTTCTGAACCTGGGCTGCAACAACAACCTCTGACTTGGGCCCAAAGAAAATTGCATTTTTTCTGTCAAGTTCAATTAATAAACATTTATTCAGAGCCTATTATTTATTCGGGTTTGTTTTTCAGTCCTGGGCCTCTCTGTCAAGAGTTTCTCCTCACTTCAGGATGGGCCCTGAGGAAGGAGCCCTGGGCTGCCAGTGAGTGGGGCTGCAGAAGTCAGGCCTGTGGAGGACCCAGTGTCTGGAGGACTTGGCACTCATGTGCCCTGATTCAAACCCTAGGTCTGCCACTTGGTTACTGTGTGATCTTGGATAAGTTACCTAACTTCTCTGTGTCTTGGTTTCATAATGTGTAAAATGTGATAATGATAGCACCTACCTCAGGGTGGTGAGGACTGAATGATATAATACACATAGAATATGAGACTGTATGTATTCTTTGAAGGTTGGCTCTTATTATTACTACCATCAGGATAATTATCCGGCTAGCTGGGACCTCTCATGTGGGCTCCACCCTCAGTTTTCTTGCCCTATTAGACTTAAGGCTTGAAGTTCCTCCATGCAGTGGAGTCCTTCCCCTACGTTCCAGCTTTCCTGGAGAGATCCTGATTCTGTTGTCCCCTTAGCAAGAAACTGGAACCAGCCCCTGTGCACCTATCTCGGCCATGGGGTCTCACTCTAGCATGAGTGCCACTTGCCCCAGCTGCCTGGTATCGGCCTGCTGCCCTCAGGCAGAGCCACCTACTCAACCCCCACTCAAACCCACTGGTGCTTGGGTGCCAGGCGGCTGGCCAGCCCTTTCACCAGCCTCCCAGCCCCACAGTGACCCACGCTGTGGAGCCTAAGCTGTGGCCACACCAAGTCCTTTGTAGGTGGCAGGCTGGAGATGGAGAGGATTAGAGAGAGAAGATCAGAAACAAGCCTCCAGTCCGTGCAGCACCCTCTGCTTGTCGGCACTGGGAGGCAGGCCTGGCCTAAATCCTTGGTTGTTACGCCTGCACAGTAAGCCATGTGGCCCTGATTCTGGCAGGACTGCAGAGATCCAGGTATCATGCAAAGACTAGGATCATGCAATTACAGGTTTACTGTCACCACCCCCAGCCTGCCCCACAGCTCTAGAATGGAAGCCCCAGGAGAGCAAGGACTCTGCCTGCCTCATCCACTTCATAGTGCTTGGAATGAAGTCTGACCTATGGCAGATGCTCAAGAAACACTTGTGGAATGAACGCAGCAAACACAGTTGCCCCATCCTGTCTGCTCCCTGTCCTCCTCCACCCAGGCGTTGGCACTCGCTTTTAAGGTGAGGGGCATCACCCGGTGTCTAACGTGGCTGTGGCCATGCCAAAGTTCAGTGGCTGCTACCTGCTGGCCCTCTGTCCCTCAGTCCCTAGAGCCAAATGTCTTCTCTGACTGGGTTTTTGCTCTCAGTTGCTCAGGAACTCTGTTCTCGTCAAGGTTGACATTGGTCTAACGTTAAGCCGAAGAGCCAGTCGCATGGAGGGTCAGTGGCTGAGGACACAGGAACAGCAGAGCCAAGGCGAGCCTCCACCCTTCTCTCCCATGCAAAGCTGAGGTCACCGGTAACGACAGTAAACACTGACTGCAAACCTGTTCTGTGCCAGGCACTGGGCTCGGCACCACGACCTGAATTATCTCCTTTAATCTGCACAGCAAACCCTGGGGTCACTATGATTAGCATCAGCCTGTTTTGTAGATGAGAAAGTGCTGGGGGGCAGTGGGTTGCAGACTGGGCATCCCTATGCCTCCCCATGTGCTGGCCCAGTCCCTAATGTCGGCGTGTGGGGTTTCCTCCTCTTCTCCCCACCTCGTGTTAAAGCAAACTAAATATGGCCTGAGAAGGACTCAGTACTTCTATATCTGAGTCCTTGTGGATGAACCATAACCTAGCTTAATAGGCAGGCAAAACTGAAAACCTAACTTACTAGTATGCACCTGTAACAACAGCTGAGTCTTGGCCAATCCCAGCGGCCATCCTTCAACCACTCATAGACCGCTGAGTGTTCAAACTGCGTTCAAATAAGGCAAACGCCGAGCTGTAACCAGTCTCACTCTTTCTGTACCGCACCTCTGATTCCTGTGTGTCACTTTACCCTTTTTGTCTATAAATTCGTTCTGACCACGAGGCACCCCTGGAGTCTCTCTGAATCTGCTGTGATTCTGGAGGCTGCTGGATTCACAAATCATTTCTTTTTCTCTTTTTTGTTTTCTCAAGTAAACTCCATCAAATTTAACTTGCCTGAAGTTCTAACACTTGTTTTCAGTCTCAGGGAAAAGCTGAACCAAGAACTGTTTTCAGCAAGTCTGAGTTTCTACCGCAGTCTCGTCACTTATCAGCCACACGGCTTAGGGAAAGCATACCACGCTCCTCACTTTCCTCTTCTATGAAATGGGGGGAATAGATGCACTTCCGTGGGGCTGCCAAGCAGATCAAACAAGAGCGCCCGTGGGCAGCACTCGTGCCAGCACAGGCCATATGGGACAGGTGGTCAGTGAAGCCTCCACTCCCTCCTCCCCTGCCCCTCCTCTCTTTCCTCCTCCCCTCCCCCCTTTCCCCCTCCCCTCCCTGAGATGTGACCTCCCTTCTCCCCTCCCCCGCTCTTTCCTCCTCCCCTCCCCACCTCTATCCTCCTCCCCTCCCCCGCTCTTTCCTCCTCCCCTCCCCCCTTTTTCCTCCTCTCCTCCCCCTCCTCACTTTCCTCCTCCCCTCCCTGAGATGTGACCTCCCTCCTCCCCTCTCCCACTCTTTCTCCTTCCCCTCCCCCCTTCCCCCCCTTTCCTCCTCCCCTCCCTGAGATGTGACCTCCCTCCTCCCCTGCCCCTCCTCTCTTTCCCCCTCCCCTCTCCCCCACTTTCCCCCTCCCCTCCCTGAGATGTGACTCTGTCCTTCGGGCTACAGCACAAGGGGAATGTGGGCTTTGGGCCTTGAAAGGGCAAAGAATCTCCCAAACAATGAGAAACTTGCTCCACTTTGGGGTGGTCTTCATGCCCATCCTGCGGGGAGGGCTGACCTCATGGGGGTCTTGGTTATTTTCAATTTATTTGTAGAACCTGAAACAGAGTTCCATTCCCAAGGAAAACCCTCATGGAAGCAGAAATAAAAACAGAATGTCTCCCTCCCTGGCGTGGGGGGGTCACAGGATCCCAACCCCAGGGAGCCGCAGGGCCCAGCCCAGGAGGGGATAACTAGTGTTCTTTGTTGACCAGGAGGCTTAAAACACTCTCTGCTCCCTTGTTTCCATTTTCTCTTAATAAATAGGCTGGTCTGGGGAAAAAGGTTCTGGAACTGTGAAAAGTTCCCACAGTGTAACCCAAACTGTTTTTGAAGTGCAATATCAGTAAAAACGGTCATGATTTGGTTTTTGGAGATATAGGTTGACCTAATGAGTATGCGCAATAAGAAAAATATTTCTCTATAGGAGAAGAGCAACACGTAACTGGGCAGACACTGGACTTGGATCTGGAAGAACCTGGATTTCCAACCAGAACCCGCCCTTACTAGCTGTGTGATGTTTCTCAAATCACTCAGCCTCTCTGAGCTCATTTTCTTTATCCATAAGGTGGGAGTAATTATATCTGTGTAGGGAAACCGAATTTGGTAATGGATTAAAGTCTCAGCACAAGATAAGCATGCTACCCACTCCACACCATCAAAGTCTGCCTTCTCCTCTCATGCAGATGTTTTCCAAAGGCCCTGCCCACTGCCATTTGTCGGAAACAGAAATTCACTCCATTAACAGAGCAGACAGGGCCAGGCACAGTGGCTCACACCTGTAATCCCAGCACTTTGGGAGGCTGAGGCAGGCAGATCACCGGAGGTCAGAAGTTCGAGACCAGCCTGGCCAACATGGTGAAACCCGTCTCTACAAAAAACAGCAAAAATTACCTGGGCGTTGTGGCAGGCCCCTGTAATCCCAGCTACTCAGAAGGCTGAGGCATGAGAATCGCTTGAACCCGGGAAGCAGAAGTTGCAGTGAGCTGAGATGGCGTCATTGCACTCTAAGCCTGGGCAACAAGAGTGAAACTTTGTCTCAAAACACACACGCATACACGCAGGCACCAAACAGGCAAAAGGTGCTTGTGAGGTGAAGAACGCCGGGGGGTGGAGTGAATATGGGCGGGGCTGAGGCTGCCCAGGGGGCCTCCCAGCCCTGACAGCTCCTCCATGGGTCATGTCGGACATGCCTTTTCTTTTTAGGCCTCAGCTTCTCCAGTAAAATGAGGACTTTATCTCAGGGCCCTTCACTTTCCCCAGTCCTGAGATTGTATAAAAACGTAGCTAATCCTTATGCCCACATCTCCAAGCAAGATTTTGAAGAGCGCACAGTGTCTGGATAATAGGTGAGCCCCTGGGGCTCCGAGAAGGACAGTTCCCAGCTCTGTGCAAGGAACATGCTGTCTGAAGGGACTCACCCAGCACCCAGCACCTTCTAGGTACAAAGCTCCTGCACGTTCTTGCCCGAATCCTGACACTTCCCACAGGCAGCTGCATTTTCCCAAAAGCCACTCTGACTGGCTCTTCTGCTTAACGTTAGACACGATGTCAGCCTTGACAGTAACAGAGCTGCTGAGCAACTGAGAGCAAAAACAAGTCAGAAAAGACATTTGGCTCTGGGGACTGAGGGCCAGAGGGCCAGCAGGTAGCAGCTACGTGGGCAGCTCAGACAAGCAAGCGTGCCCAAAGGTGGCCCATTCAGAGGCACATCATCCCCCCGCTGTCTGCACGTCCCTGAGCCACAGCAACCCAGCAGGCCGGGAGCTGGGAGGGACGGGACCTGTCAGCACCTACCCACTCACCCACCCCCACGTGGTCGCCATCCATCAGCCTCCCCATGTTTCTGGAAGATGCAGGGAATAAAATCACTCTGCATTTCCACGTAACGCCGGGGACTGTCACTGAAGACCCCAAACTGTCCCTTGTCCTCTGGCAATACAGTTAGGATAAATTACCAGACTATGTCATTATAATTGTAGTATAATTACTGAGTATAATTATAAATAATTATAAATCATGATTATAGATAGTCCTTGACTTAATGATGATGTGACTTATAATTTTCTGACTTTATGGCTGTGCAAAAGTGAATGACATTCAGTGGAAAGTACAGTTTGAATTTTGAAGTTTATTTATTTATTTTTTAATTTTTTAGAGACAGTCTCACTCTGTCACCCAGGCTGGAGTGCAGTGGCATAATCATAGCTCACTGCAGCCTGGAACTACTGGGCTCAAGCAATTCTCTTACTTTAGCCTTCCCAGTAGCTGGGACCCCAGGCACACATCACCACGCCTGACTAATTTTTTAAGTTTTAATTCTTATATTTTTTTTTGTAGAGACAGGGTCTCACTATGTTGCCCAGGCTGGACTTGAGCTCCTGGCCTCAAGTGATCCTCCAGTCTCAGCCTCCCAAAGCACTGGAGTTACAGGGATGAAGCACTGGGTCCAGCCTGAATTTTGCATTTTGATCTTTCACTGGGCTAGTGATATTCAGCACAATACTATCTGGTAATCCTGGCAGCAGGAGGACCCGCAGCTCCCCGTCAGCCATGTGATCATGAGAATGAACCAGTGATCTATGGTGTACGGTAATCAACACATTACAGGAGACATTCCACACTTTATTATGAGATACGCTTTGTGCCAGATGAATTTGCCCAGCGTAGGCTCCTGTGAGGGTAGCCTGGGCTGAGCCGCGATGCTCGATAGGTTAGGGGCAGTAAATGCATCTTCCACCTCGGATGGGTGGATGGGGATGTGACCTCACTGTAAGTCGAGGGGCATCTGTGCATACAAGTGCAAACATGTACACACACACACAGCCCTGGCACGTCCCCTCTCCTTGTTTGATCCTACTCTAGCACGGCAGTCCTGTAGTCACATTCATCACCGTCCTCAGGTTACCCACGAGGAAACTGAGGCTTGGTGAGGGCTACCGCAGACCAAGGACCTAGAGCTGGGAGCACTGCCTGGATCCCGGCCTGCCCATGACGCTGTGCCTCACAATAATGCTCACTTTAATGTTGGGGTGCTCCAGACAGAGATGTCTGCGCGTCTGCAAACATGGTAGCTGTGGCCCCTCACCCTAATCCAGCAGATAATCCAGGAGGGCTGAGGACCAACAGGTGGAAAAAGCCCATTTTACAGATGAGGAAATTGACACTTGGAAGAATTAAGTGACTTTCTCATTGTCACACAAATAAATAGCAGAACCTAAGGCCCTCTTCCTTCCTATCTAGGGCCCTTTCTCAGCTGCTTGGCCTTAGGGGAAGTAACGCGCTTGCTCCCTGCTCCAAGGCAGCGGACAGGAAGAAAATCAAGCAGCCTCCCTTGCAGGCCCGCAGCTATTCATTCATGCATCCTGCATTCATTCATTCACACTGCCTTGCCCTGCATTAGGTGCCAAAGCAACTCTCCAGTCCTCTCCAGGATGAAGCCTACAGGCTATGGAGGTGCTTGTTAAAACATCTTCGCCGCATTGGGCATGGAATGTCGTGTGAATGTGAAATTGGGCCTGCCCGCCCAGCATTCTAGGGCAAGCACTGTGCTCTGCGGGACGCACACACGGAACAGCCAGGCTTCAGGGAAAACCCTTTGATCCAGGGCCCAGTCATGTCCTCTGCTCTGCTGCTGCCCCCGGACAGACAGTAAAATGTGCACATCAGTTGGAGAGAGAACACTTCATGCTCTTCTCTGGAGCTGAACAAAGAGGGAGGCAGTGCTAGGGCCAGGACAAGACACACCGGCAACGCTCAGAACTGGAATATAAGGGCAGTTGTAGTCATTCGCGGTTCTGCAGGTCAGGACTAATGGTCCTAGACTTTCTTCCTTGAAGTAAAAATCCCCCAATTAAACCTGAGCTGTCACAGTTATGGCTCAGGGTCTGACAGCACTAGCTGGGCCGCCCTGGCAAGTTATTTATCCTCTGAGTTACAGACACTGAATCCATAAAATGCAGATGATAATCTCTCCTCCCAACTCCCCCAGGCCTTCTGGAGGATTCAGTGTTATCATGGGTGTAAAAATACCACACAGAGGGGGTTCAGTAAGTGATCTAGGGCACCCCGCTCATTGGAGAAAACCCAAGAGGGGTCCTGGCCTCGCCTCCTCCTCAGGAGATGGACTGTCAGGGAAGCGAGCGCCCAGGCTGCCATCCAGTTCTGGAGGCTTCAGCCTCTCTCCACCGACCACTGACATGCCTTGGGGCATAGAATTTCTTCCTCTGTAAGATGGAGACAACGCATGCCTGGCCAGCGGAGAAAAACGCAAAGCAGCCTGTAAAATCCAAAGCAAAGGGTAAAGGGTTGCGGCCGGTTTGGTGGCTCATGCCTGTAATCCCAGCACTTTGGGAGGCTGAGGCAGGCAGATCACCTGAGGTCAGGAGTTCGAGACCAGCCTGACCAACATGGGGAAACCCGGTCTCTACTAAAAATACAAAATTAGCCGGGCATGGTAACTTATGACTGTACTCCCAGCTACTCGGGAGGCTGAGGCAGGAGAATCGCTTGAACCCAGGAGGTGGAGGTTGCAGTGAGCCGAGATCGCGCCACTGCACTCCAGCCTGGGCAACAGAGCAAGACTCCATCTCAAAATAAATAAATAAATAAATAAATAAATAAATAAATAAATAAATAAAAATAAAATAAAGCCAATGGTGGCTGTTTCCCGCGCTCACCTCTGTTTCAGTTTCCTCATCCGCAAAAAGGTGGATCTGAACATTGACACCACAGGGCAGTTTTGAGATGTATGGAAATCAAACGAGATATCAGTGGTGCAACCGGCCAACACACGTCTGGCATTCAGTGGTACTCAATGAATGCAGAGTTTGGGTCTGCCGGCAACTGGAGGGGCTGGGAGAAGCCGCGGTGAATGGCAGGCCGGCCATCTGCAGCTTCAAAGATGGCTGCAGTGCACCAGCATCTGCCTCCAATGACTGTCTTGCTATCTGCTCTCGGCTTTTACTTGGAAAGATGCTTTGATATTGACTAACCAGGAGAGCCTGATGAATTTGTGTCTTGAGAGTGCCGTGGCAGAGGCATCTTCTGCTACTGCCTGCCCATGGGGCTCAGAGGGCTGGGGGCCAGCCGCTCCCGATGGACTTGTGCTCCGGTGAACACACACCCAGAAAAGGTGCCACGGTGGGGTCCTGAGTTCACCTCTGAGGTGGGAACTCCCTCCTCTATTCTCTCCACAGCAGGGGGGGCAACCAAAGGGGCTCACATTCCTGCCGCTTCCTTCAGTGTCTTTGTAGAAGTCTCCGTTTAGTGTGGTCAGGAAAGGCAGCAGAGATGTTAGACATCAGGCATTTTGTATACAAATAATTATTTCATAAACAAAGATCTATAAGACCATTATCCACTGTTTGAAAAATGAAAAAGAGAAAAACCCACCCTCAAGCCCATCAACCCAAGAGAATTCTCCGTATCTTTGTGGATTCCTACCTAGTCTACAGCCTTGTGCAAATGCCCTCTTAGTCTCAACTTCAGCTCATCGCTTTTCGTCTTGCATTCTCCCCTTCCTCATTAGATGACCCACGTTTTTCTGTGTTGCTTCTTCACCTCTGTGTTTACCATGTCTAGTGGCTGCCCCATTGGGAATGCCTGGGCCACCCTGTTTTCGTGCACACTCCCACGCATGTCCCACTGCCGGACACAGACCAGCTTCCACCTGCGATCGCGCTCTGTGCTGCCATCCGGGCGCAGATCCTGCTCTGGCTGTGGTCCATCCCTGTAGATGAGCCGCCAGAAGTGGTGGATGCCGCACACCACCCCCTGCAGCCTGCCACCCCACCAACTTCCCTACTGCTGCGGGATCCGAAGCAGCCATTTGAAGACCGGACTGTGAGACAAGCCGCAGAGAGAGAGAAAATATTTGCAAAAGGCACATCTGATAAAGGACTGTTATCCAAAGTATACAAAGAACTCTTAAAACTCAACAATAAGAACGCGAACAGCCCCGTTAAAAATGGGCCAAAGGCCTTCACAGATTCCTCATCAAAGAACATAGATGATGGCAAATAAGCATACGAGAGACGCTGCCCATCATATGCCATCAGGGAAGTGCAGATCCAAAATAACGATGAGGCCAGTGTGGTGGCTCACGCCTGTCATCCTAGCATTTTGGGAGGCCGAGGCAGGTGGATCACTTGAGGTTAGGAGTGCGAGACCAGCCTGGCCATTATGGTGAAACCCCGTCTCTACTAAAAATACCAAAAAAATTAGCCAGGCATGGTGGTGGGCACCTGTAATCCCAGGAACTGGGGAGGCTGAGGCAGGAGAATTGCTTGAACCTGGGAGGCAGAGGTTGCAGTGATCACACCATTGCACTCCAGCCTGGGCGACAAGAGCAAAACTGTGTCTCAAAAAATAATAATAATGATGATGAGATACCACTACATACCTATGAGTATGGCCAAAATCCAGCACACTGAACCACCAGATGCTGGCAGGGATGTGGAGTATTGGGAAGCCTCGTCCATTGCTGGTGGGAATGCAGAAGGGTACAGGCCCTTTGGAATACAGCTTAGCAGTTTCTTACAAAACTAAACATACTCTTGCCATATGCTCCAGCTATCTTGCTCCTTGGTATTTACACAAAGAAGCTGAAAACGTATGTCCATACAAAAGCCTGAACACAGATGATTATAGCAGCTTTATACATAATTTCCAAACCTGCAAGCAGCCAAGATGTCTTTCAGTAGGTGAGTGGGTAGGTAAGTTGTGGTACAGCCACAGTTTGGGATATTATTTAGCTACATAATATTTAGCACTGAATAATATTCTATTATTCAATGCTGACAAGAAATGAGCTCTCAAGCCAGGAACAGACATGGAGGAAGCTTAAATGCATATTATTAGGAGAAAGAAGCTATCTGAAAAGGCCACATGCTGTGATTCCAGCTAGATGACATTCTGGGAAAGGCAAAACTATGGAGATGGTGAAAAGATCACTCGTTGCCAGGGGCTGGGGGAGGGAGGGATGAATAGTTGGAGCACGGGGGATTTGGGGGACAGTGAAACTATTCTGTATGATACTATAATGGTGGATACATGTCATTGTGTATTTATCCAAACCCACAGACTGTCCAGCACCAGGAGTGGTCCCCTAATGTTAACTGTGGAGTTTGGGTGATGGCATGTCATTGGTTTATTAATTCTAAGGAATGTACCCTCTGGTGGGGGATGTTGATCCCTGATCCAGGGAGGAAGGAGTATTAGGAAGCCAATTTGGCTCTGGTCCAAGCCCTCTCCTCCAGTCCAGCCTTTCCAGCAATGAGGGTATCATCAAAAGCCCACATCTATGCTCACTGGCTCAGATATCACAGGGAAAAGAGAACGAGGAATCCAAAGTCCTGAGCAATCGTGTCCCCTTAGGTGACCAAGCCTTCTGCTGTGGGCTCCCCGAGGCATTTCCTGGGAGAAGGGTCTCTGGCTTCCCAAGATGCCATCTCTCCAGCCAAGAAGGTGCCCTGGGCAGTCCCCGAGGCTGGCCATCCCCTCTAGAACCTGCAGGACCATGGAGCCAGCTCTTTGCACGAGGAGGAGCCTTCCTGGATCAAAACCTACCAAGATAACAGGGAACCAGGGGCAGCTTCCAGGGCCCCTTCCTCATTCTGCTGCTCGGAACTCCTTGTGACAAGGACTGAGTGAGTGTCCGGAGTGACTGCCAGCTGGGCCTGTGCTCTGTGTCCAGGAGCCGCGGCAGGGTGCCCAGCGGGGCCTCTTGGATGCTCCTCCTGGCTGGCAGCCCCTGCCCGGCCCAGGCCTTTTTAGCCCCCGAGCCAGGATGGCAGCCTCTTCTCCTGACCTCATTATGTCAGCGCCCGGATTGTGTGCTGGGGCTGGGCTGGGGACAGGATGTTTTCTGCTTCTCCAGGACATTGTCACTCTCTTGGCCTGTGATCATTCATTTCAGGGCCTCATTTTGTTCCTGAACTGGGCTCAGTGTTAGGATTTTAACTGCTCATCTGCCCAGATGGGGGCTGTGCAAGCAGGGTCTGCAAGCAACTCTGCCCCTGGAGTGGTGCCTCGTGGGGGTGGGGGCAGGGCTGCCTTTGCCTCCCTATTGTTTCCAAGCCAGCTCCCTACCCGCACACAGACAGGCAGGCCCTCCGTGAGTGTCCTGAGACCCTACCACACCCCAGTGCTGCCCAGGCCCAGCACCCGGGGTGCGGGTGTACCTTCTTTTCTGCTCGTGATTGGCTGGGGCACGCGACTGCTCTGTAAACCAGGTGCGGGGAGGGCCAGGCAAATACTTAGGTATGTTGGGCCCCATGCCAGGCACCAGGGCATTTCAGCGCCTTTACAGCTCCTCACAGCCTGGGGAGGTGGGTATTACCTCATCCTGCAGTGGATGGGGCATGCGCCTCGGGAAAGGCCGGGACTCATCCAAGGTCACAGGGCAGAGCTGGGGCGCCACCAGGCCCGTCTACCTCAAGCCCAGCACCCCACACCACACCACAGGCCTCCCCTCCACACCCCACGAGCGAAGGGCCCCTCCTCTGCCTTCCTCTAGAGAAAGTTGCCCTGCTTCCCCGGCCTGAGCCTCACGGTGTGAAAGAAAAACAAAATGCCAGGACCTCAAACTCACCATGCCAAAGCGAAAGTTAAGCTCAGAAACTGAGTCAGGCAAAAACTGCCTTCCTTTTCTTCCCAAACAGATAGCTGCAGTGTCGCATGCTTACTTTAGCTTGTGTAAACTGTAGATTTAGTGAGTGGGAGATGAATGCAGAATTTTGGCTCCCCTCACTCCCTTCTTTTCATGCGTAAAATGTAGATTCATTGAGTGCCGCTTCCTGGTCTTCCTGGTGAGGCTGCACGCACTCTCGCCTGGACACTGCACACTCCCTACTGCCTCCCCCAGCTCATTTTCCACATTGACGCCAGAGGGATCTGAGCACATGGCCCTGACTGTGTCCCTCCCTGCACCACCCTCTATGGCTCCCCATGGCCTACTGGCTACCGTCCAAGTGTCTGAGCCTCTGCTTAGAGGGTCTACAGTGTGGCCCTACTTCCTTTCCCTGACCTATGGCCTGGCTCTAACCCCACCTCCCTCTGCACCACTCCCCAGGCATGGCTAGAACTCTGCTACAGTTCTGTCCCCACTGACCGTGCCTTTCCCTGTGCAGGGTCGCCCTTTCATGTTCCTTGTCCAGGCAGGCTCTGGAGTCAGCTTTCACAACCTGTCCCCAGGAAGTATGTTCAGCCAGGGAGGTCAGCCAGGTACTCTGTCCCCTGAGGTGCACCTGGAAAGACCCACGTGCCTCAGCCTGTCATGCTGAACTTTTAAGAGCACCAGAAACTTCTGGGTGGAACTGTCACTTCGAGACCTTAATCCAGAATATGCTGCATTATCTTGATTGGACATTCATTTCCTGTCTCCCGAGAACGATCACACCCCATAAGGAATTTCTCCCATGCAAGCAATTAACAAAGACACACAGGTGACTTCACTGGGGCCCCAGGTTCCTGGGTCTCTGCCCACTGGAATTCTGCCACTCACTGTCAAGAATTCCAGAAACGGGTTCCGATTTCCTAAGGACATCAATGGCACCAGTTGCACAATTCCATCCTGGGGCTCATAGTCCCCTGGAAAGGACACAATGGGACGTGGGAAGACAAGGAAAGAAGAGTAGTTCTGTGCTCGTGAGAGGCGAGCTTCTCTCTTCCTAGGGGCTGCCAATACCCTGGCTCTCACCTCCGTGGGAAAGATCCATGTATGTCCACGTGTGACGTGCGCAGCAGAGTGAGCACAGAGTGTGAGCGTGCAGAGAATACTGGGCTCCTGCCTGATGTCCAGGTAGGAGACTGAGAAAGGAAACTAACAAAGTTGGATGGTTTCTTTCAATGGCAACTTGGGAAATAGAGCATTCTGATAAAATGAGAACAAAATAATCCATTTGCTTGATTCAACACTAGTCACATTTTCTGAGTGCTGTGTCCCAGACCCTGGGATCTGGGTCTGTGATATTCTCTCCCAGCCATGCATAGGTGGTGCCTTGTGGTTGCTAGGTATGGTGGGTACAGAGGTAGGTGAGTCCCTACCTGGGAGTCAGGCAGCATCCCACAGCCCTCACGTGATGCCCTGGGTGAGTTCATACAGACGTAAAGACATGAGCGGCCTGCTGCAGGAGCACAGGGCAGGGAGATGGTGGAGGAAGAGATGCCAGAGGGAGACGGGCTAGGAAGGAGGAGCAGAGTTCTCCAGGCAGGGGAGGGAGACCAGAGCCCCAGGCAGTAAGTGCGGTGTGAGCAAAGACATAGAGGGAGCACCGCCAGCTTATGGGATGGCAAGTGGGTGGGCTGAGGATGCTGAATGACAGTGACAGAGGCATGAGAAGGATCCCAGGAAGGCCAGTGGGCCCAGGCTGCCAGTGGGGAGCTGGGCTTGGGGTTGCAAAACTCAGGAACTGCCCTCCTGTCACACGCAGGGTGTGTCCTGGTCAGAGCTGGTTTTGGAAAGCTCGTTCTGGGGGCAGACACCTCTTCACACACAGACTGTTCTGGGACACAGCTGCCATGGTGAAGTTCCCAAAGACACTACGGTTGACAGAATAGTGGCTCCCCACAGATAGCCCTTCCCTAATCCCCAGAACCCGCGAATGGTTCCTTCTGTGGGAACAGAAACTGCAGATGTGATGAAGTTCCGGATATCGAGACGGGGAGACTATTCTAGATTAGTTTGGCCCCAGACGTAATCACAAATGTCAAAGTGGAAGATCAGATACAGAAGAGAAGTAGGCGATGTGGCCATGGAGCAGAGACTGGAGTGATGCAGCCACAAGCCAAGGAACGCTGGCAGCGGCCAGGAGCTGAAGAGGCAAAGAACGGATTCTCCCCTGGAGCCTCCAGAAGGAAGCTGCCCTGCCACCATCTTGATTTCAGCCTTTCAAAAGACTCATTGCAAACTTCCGGCCTCAGGAACATTAAGAGACTAGATCTGTGTTGTGTTAAGCCACCAAGTTTGTGATAATTTGCTACAGCGTCCACAAGAAACTAATACAGCCACCTTCTTGAATTGTCACACATTGGCAGTCACGAAATATCTCACTTGGAGAAGAGTCATATCAAAGTTGTCTGTGGTCACTTTGGCTAAGTAGACTAAACACGGGATGGGGGAAAATCTCTGACTCAGACTTTCTCTGGGCAAAGAACAGAAATCCATGAGAAATGATTTACCAGTTCTGATGCGAAATCTAAGAAGTTAAAAGTCCTGCTGAAATAGAAAGGGGCTTTTGCAAACTGCTTGTAAGGTCTTGGAATAAAATCTGGTACGTCCCCTGAGTGTTTTAGGACTCTGGCTACAATGAATCATTGCAGCATTCTTCAAGGTAACTTATAGAACCCTTTCCTTTTATTTCAAAGCCTTCAGGAAAAAGTCCTCACATTTATTCATGTGGACGAGGTCCAACTAAGAAAAGAGAAAGCACTCCAAGGAATTACAACAGAGGGAATTTAATGCAGACGGCTCGTTACACAGGTGTTGGAGGAATTGAAAAGCCAAACAGAGGACATTTTAAATGACCCACAGGTTTGCAACAGCAGATAGTGACTACCACCCCTCAGCTGGAGTGATAAGTGGCAGGAGGTTGTGGGGACCCTGGCAGGAAATATGGGAGAAATACCCCATTTCTCTTTGCCCCACCCTCTCGCCTGCCTCCTACGCTCCCGGCAGGAAGTCAGAAGACCCAGGAGCTACAGGGCTCAGGGTCTGTCACATGGAGCAGAGCAGGAAAGAAGCAGAGAACAAGGAGGCAGGAAACACCCAGAGCTGGGCTTGCAGACTGAGCGAGGCCTCAGTCACCCTCCAACTGAAGAGACTCAAGCCAGGAAGCAGGGAGAGGATGCTGGGCAGAAGCCAAAGGAAGTAGAAGGCAAAGAACCCCTAAGCCAATGTTCTGGGGCTGGTAAGGGCCCAGCCCTGGGACAGTCGTGCTGAGTGCCTGCCTGGGACAAGTGCCCCAGGGCCCTCCCCTGCTCTTCCTTGAGGTCCTGGGCACAGGCTCCCTTTCAGCTGTTCTGCTGACCTGTTTGGTCCTTACCCCCCTTGCAGTGGTCACTAGGACTCCCCAGAGCTCCCTTCACCCACCAACCAATTCTGGCAACTCGAATCCACCACACCCCTTACTACTGGTAGCCCTGGACTGCTGAGACCATGGTAGCTGGAGTTCCCTTGGTTTCCCTCTCCGAGAGGTTTATTTCCCTCCTGACACCAAATGCAATGGTGTCTTTTCCATCCTCCTTCCTCCAACACCAACCAGAAGTCCCACAGTTCAGTTCCATCCTGACACTACTGGAAGTTGGTATGGACTCCGCAGGTTTAAGGCCCAGTCCCCCAAGACTGCTCCCACCGCAGAACCCAGCTGTAAGCTCTGGGCCACCAACTGCCAATAAATCAGGGGCTCCCACGACCGCCTCCTCAGGCTCGGTGATTTGCTAGAGTGTTTCACAGAACTCAGGAACACATCCTACTTACATTTACCAGCTTAGAAAGAATACAAATGAACAGCCAGATGAGGGGGTCCACAGGGCAGTGTCTAGGGCGGTCCTGAGGCAGGAGCTTCTTCTGTCCCTGTGGAGTTGGGGTGGGGTCGCCACCCTCCTAACACATGGAAGCTCTCGGAACCTCGTTGCTGAGGGTTTTTATGGAGGCTTTACTACGGGCACAGTTGATCAGATCATTGGCAATTGGTGATTAAACTCAACCTCCAGCCTCTTTCCCCACCCCAGAAGTGGAGGGTGGGGCTGAAAGTTCCAGTCCTCTGACCCGCAGCTCTCCAGGGGCCCTGAGCCACCAGTCACGTCATTACATACAAAGACACTCCTATCACTCTGAATAGTCCAAGGATTTTAGAGTTCTGTGTCAGAACCAGGGATAAATACCAAATACTTATTTTTACCACACTCTCATTCATTTAACCCTCTGTTAATGGCTGAATTGTGCCCCCTTAAATTCACATATTGACGTCTTAACCCCCAGTACCTTAGGAGATTACTGTTTTTGGAGATGGAAACTTTAAGTGATTAAGTTAAAATGAGGTCGTGTGTCCTAATCCAACAGGACTGGTGTCCTTACAACAAGAGAAGATGAAGACACAGACACACACAGAAGGACGGCCATGTGAGGACACAGGGAGAGGCAGCTACCTGCAAGCCAAGGAGAGAGGCCTCAGGAGAAACCAGCCCTGCCCACACCTTGATCTCAGAGCTCCAGCCTCCGGGCCTGAGAAAATAAATGTCCATTGTTGATGCCATCCCAACTGGTACTTTGTTATGGCAGCGCACACACTCACACACCCTCCCAATGCCTCAGGAAACAGCGACTGTCATCTTCTCCACTTTCCAGATAGGGAAATCAAGGCTTAGAGAAGTGGGCTGCCCCAGGTCACACACTGATGCCCCAGGTCACACTGTGGGTCAGTGGCAGGCTGGGCTTTTCTGCTGGCCTCTGCAGCCTTCTTGGGTACCTCCTCCTCACGTACTCACTGGCCCCGAGGCACTGTTCTCCAGGACAGATGCAGCAACCACACATGGTCCCACCAGGACAGCGCCCCTGCAGCACGGTGGCCTCGGGCAAAATGCCTGGACCAGGACTTGGACATTGGGCGGCTGTGTGACAGGCATGGACTCTCACATGTCTGAACCTCACACCTCATCTGTAAAATGGTGAGGTTGGGTGAAGATCAAAGGAGAGGAGGGGCAGCTGAGCCCCAGCCTGGGGCCTTCCCTGGGGCCTTCCACTGGCGCTCTTCCTGGGACCCCAGCTGGGCGCCTGGCCTTGCATCCCAGGTGGGTAATCTGGAGACAGTGGGGGGCTCTGGCCCTGGTGCTGCTGAGGGAGGGAAGAATCTGACCCTACCTGTGCCCCTCTAGAGGCCGGTGCCTCCCCAACATCTCCACTTCACCGCTGAGGAAACTGAGGCCTGGGATGGTGGAGGGCTGTGGGGTATCATTTTCTTAGGGCCCCAGTGCTAGAGCTTAATGGAGATGGGATTCCAGCTCAGGGCTGGTTTCAAAGCCTCTGCCCGCTGCAGGAAGGCAGGCATCCACTTCTGAACCCTCGGTCTCAGCCCTTGCAGGGCAGCCCAGCCCCGACCCTGCCGCCGGTCAAGACTGTGTTTCCCAGGGGCCTCTGCTGCAAGGGAGGGGGTCGGCACCCGTCCAGCACCGCTCGCTCGATTTCCAGCCAGCACCGGATGCAGGCGCTGTGTGCCCAGCGGGGCGAGCAATAATCTTTTCGTCTATTCCTGGCTCCTGGAGATTTGCCTCTCTCTGGGGAAATTACTTTGGGGTCACAGTGAAATTTCTGTGACAGCTAATAAAGTAACCTTTCTGTTTCTGGAACCAGATCCTGGAGTCCGGGACCCCTGTGGGCTCTGTATTGTATTTTTTTCTCCTCTTTTAATCTCCGGATGAGGTGAAAGAAGGGAATGGGAGTGTGGCTCATTCCCAGCTGAACGGGACTTCCTGGCCCAGGCTGGCTCTGACATTTGCAAACATGGAGCTCAGGGACCACGGTGTCACCACTGGAGCCCCAAGTGATCTTCACCTATATGTGGGGTGATTCAGGAGTCCCAACTTCAACCCTCCACTTGGCAAACCTGGGTGCGGAGCCCTGAGCTGGGCACAGAAAGGCAGCCCAGCCCTGGGGTGCAGACCACGCATGGCTCACAGCAGCTGCCATGGTGGCGTTCCATCCCAGCTCTGCCACCTGACCTCAGGCGAGTTACTGAGCTCTCTCAGACTGAGTTACTTCACCTGCAAAACTAGATAACTACAGGATGCATCTCGTGGGCTTCCCGGGCAGCTGCAGAATTTCTGATGAGGAAAAGCGAGGGGGAGGGAGGTGATCTGGTTTCAGGGTGTTGAGAGGGAAAGCTGCTTTTGAAGCCGCAATTGCATGCAGGGCCCTGTTTACCTTAGATGGTATGTTTTGGAGGTGGCCCTGGAGAGGGCACCCCCATCCCCCTCAACTTCCCGGACCTGTCACTGAGGACTGAGTCAGATGACGCGCAGAATCGTCTAACACGATGCTTGCCACATAGGTAGCACAGAAAATGTTGATGCCACATCATTTTAGGACTGTTTGACTCTTGCCCGGGATGAGTTTACAGAACAAGAGGGAGGCAGCCACACAGCGGTCATTACAAGTGCGCCAAATGTGCTGGGCATCGTGGGCATGCACAGCAAGCATGCTTAATTCTGCCTGGGCACTGAAGGCCGACTTCACGGAGCTGGTGACATTTTAACTGAGGCACGAAGGATGCGCCTGGCCTCAACAGGCTGAGTGGGAGGGGAGAGGGAGGTCAACATGAGCAAAATGGGGGCATAGCAAGGACCCTCCTGGAAAAGTTGGGGGTGAGGTAGCCCAGACCCCTGAAAACCATCCTAGGAGGGGATGCTGAGTCCCAAACCCAGATGTCTGGTGTTTAGTGCTATGGACAGTGTGGGAAGTGAGAGAGACAGAGGCAGAAAG
The DNA here is from genome assembly GCF_000001405.40 of Homo sapiens. Taxonomy (NCBI): domain Eukaryota; kingdom Metazoa; phylum Chordata; class Mammalia; order Primates; family Hominidae; genus Homo; species Homo sapiens. The sequence goes on from NC_000005.10 coordinate 178,436,308, forward strand.
ACCAGAGAGGAGGCTGCCCCCATCCCAGGCAGCCGGTGTCCAGGTCAGCGGTTGTGGCGAGCACGGGGAGAGGGCAAGAACCTCAGGACCCTGCAAGGCTGCATTGGGGGGTGGGGTCGGGGTGGCTGGAAGGGGAGGGCAGGAAGAGCAGGTGCAGAGGGTGGGGTACGTTTCAAAGGGAGAAGGCACAGAACACCAACTACGGTCCAAACCACCTGGAAACACACTGTGTGTTCTTCCCAAAATGTGCCATTGTCAAGGATGCCCTAGGGCTGACTCGGAACAAGAGCTCCAGAATGCTGAGCGAGGTGCTGCTTCCCTGTGGCATCCCTGTGCAGCGGTGGTGACCAGCTAAGCCCTCCTTACTGAACAAAGAGGTGGGAACTCAAAGATAAACTCTGCTCATTCCTCATTACCCGTCCAGGCCACAGAGCTCACAGCTAACATTTATTGGGTACTTACCATGTGAAGACACAGTGCCAAGCCCCTGGCAGGCTTGGTAAAAACTCTTGAGAAGTGTTACCCCCATTTTGCAAAAGAAGAGACTGGGGGTCAGAGAGGTTTCACTTCTCAGTTAAAGCTGCACAGTGGTAGACGGTGGAGCTGGGGTCGACCTGGCCTGCACAATTGACAGAACGCATTCAGAGCCTCATCTCTCGAATTGCTTGTTTCCTGGTGATCCCCCTCCCTAAGATCACAAGGCTGTGTAGAACAGGGATTTGAACCTGGGACTGTCTATTGCCAAGTCATATATTCTTAATACCCTGCCCTCCACCTCAGTGGAGTATAATCTTGTTCTTTTATCTAATTCCTGGTGGGAGCAAGCCTCGGCCAGGAGGTCATTCAGCTGGGAGTGAGCCACACTCCTGTTCCTGCCCTTCACCTCATCTGGTGATTAAAAGAGAAAAACATACAATACACAGCCCACAGGGGTCCTGGGCTCCAGGATCTGGTTCCAGAAACAGAAAGCTTACTTTACTGGCTGTCACAGAAATCTCGCTGTGACCCTAAAGTAATTTCCCCAACCTCTGGCTCTTTAGGACCTACCTGGGATGAAACAGGGTGCCAGGAGAGGTTGCAGGAGCAGAACTGAGCCGGGTCCAGGGAGCAGGAGGTCGCCAGGATCTGGTCCACTTCTATGGAATCCCCAAGCCCAGCAGGAGCCTCCCATGCCACAGTTGCCAGTGGATGAGTGGATGTGTGGTGGGGAGGAGGGTAGAAGGCTGTATGAGCTGGGCCCCAGCCGCTATCTGCCCAGCAAGGCATGTGGCCTGCCCAGGGGTCAGTCCAGCCTCTGAGCATATGGCCCTGGTCCCACTGAGTTCTCAGGGCCCAGGCCCTGAGGGTACCCACTGTCCCACCTGGATCACACAGTCATGGCCCCGTACTCCCCTACTTCCCTGCTGCTCACCTGGCCCCTCTGTGGCCAGACCTACGTCTCCATCAGTCCCAGGGCCAGCTCCTTCCCAATGTTCATCAGCCAAGATGCGGGAGTCAAGAAGCAAACCCAGTCCTGGAGGGTGCTTGTGGGACGGGACCCAGGACCCCAACCAGCAAGGGGCCTGGGGGGAGGTGGGATGTGGGGTCAGCCTCGGCTGGGCTGAGCTGCTCATGCCTGGTCTGAGTGCCCACCATGGGCTCAGAGGCCCCTGACCACCACAGTGATTAAACTTGAGGTTTAGGCAGGGCTGCTGCTTAGGCCTCAAAAAAATCTCAGCTAATGTGTCTTAATTCCCTGGAAGAGGACCTGGGGCCAAAGATGTGCAGGGGCACAGCTCCTCTGTGGCACCTGTCCCCATCCTCAGATCCTCTGCTGTGGTCCAAACCAAAGAATTAAGGGATTAAGTGTGAAGAACACAGACAGCACCTAGAGAACTGAAGACACCAGGGCACTTGGTAACACAGTCCAACTTTACAATATCAAGCTGAAAGCACAGCTCTGGCCCCTCCTCAAGTTACTGCTTTAAGAGTTAAAAGATACTTGGGTTACATGAGCAAGAATGCCAAACACCTGGAGGGGGAAAAAAAGGTATGTAGGAGCTATCATATTGTTTATTTAAATTTACTATCTGAAAATATCTGGGCAAGAAAAGTAAACATAAGTGAGCTTTCCAGCCAGATCTGGGGTCCTGGTGAAATAAACCGCTTTACCTGTAGGAACGCAGTTCATCCCTGTATCTGACTGGTGTTTATGTATCATATGCTATGGAGACCACAGAGCAGGCAACACACAGCTAACATGCTGGTTCCTTACCCAAAAATACCTTGAAATTCCTCTGTATCTGCATTTGTAAATATTTTATGTAAACCAGATGGGTTTACAGAACACGTGCAGTGGAATCTGGTTTTATTTTTTAGCAACATGTACTATAAAATGCTTCAGAAAAATAATCTGTACATTGAGAAGGAAAAAAAAAAGATTTCTGGGTCTACTTATAAAGAGCGAGAGAATCAAGAACACTCTTTTAGGAAATGCTAGCATTAGAAGCATCTGCTCAGAACTGACTCTTGGGTCCAAACAAGTTGCCTTCAAGCAGCAGTCCCCAAACGTGGCTGCGCGTTATAATCACCCGGGGAAAGGTTACAACTCCTAGTGCACAGGCTTCCCCCTGTCCCAACTGCACCAAAAGCTCTGGGTGGGACTCAGCACTTTAGTAGTTTGTAAAACTCCCCTGGAGCTCCCAGTGTGCACCTGCGCCTGAGAGCTTGACTCAGCCCAGTGTGCATTCAAATCACCTGGGAGCTTGAACCTCTCCATGCCCAGGCTGTGCGCAGATCAGTTACATCAGGACCCAGCCAGCAGATTTTAAAGTTTTCCAGGTGATTCAAAAGGGCAGCCAGGACTGGGAGCCACTCCCCTTACAGGATGTGGGAACCTTCTGAAGGGATGTGACTGCTGATCTGGCCATGCATGATGCATGGACAGGCAAGAGCCAGAGGCCCCGGCACCATCATCGCAGTCCAGATGGAAGTCTTGCTCCCAAGTCACCTCCATCTTTTCTCTCTCAGCCACTTGCTGATTGAGGCTGAGCCAGTTACCAAAGTCTCTGTGGCTCCTGCTCCTTCCATGCCAGACCCTGTTGAACACATCCCTGGACTCCAGCTCCTTGTCTCTGGTCCACCCAGAGCCGGAGCTTTAGCCTAGGACCCAGACTTCTCCCTCCTGCCTCTTCCTTTCCCTCTCAGTGACCCTCACCCGGCAGCTGGAGGAATCTTCTGAAGAGCAAGTCTCATCACATCTCTCCTCTGCTCAAATCCTCCAGCAGATGTGAAGACACGAGATAAGCTGCTGGTGGGAACACGCCACGGTGCAGCTGCTTCAGAAGTCAGCGAGGCAGTTTCTTAAAGAGTTAAACATACGTTCACCATGCAGTGCAGCAACTCCGCTCCTAGGATCTCCCCGGGAGAAATGAAAACATACGTCCATACAACTCAGATGCAAATGCTCATAGAAGCGTTCTTCAAAATAGCCCCAAACTGGAAACAATCCAAGCATCCATCATCTGGCAAATGGAGAAACTACAGTGTAGCCAATCAATGGAATACCACTACATGCTACAACATGGATGAGCCCCAGAAATGCGACGCTGAGTGACAGAAGCCAGACACAAAGGACTGGATTGTAGGAGTCCATGTGTACACGGTTTCTAGAAAGGACAAATCTGCAGAGACAGAAAACAGATCAGTGGTTGCCTGGGGCTGGGGGAAGGAACGGGGATTGACGGACATGGGCACCAGGGCGCTTTTTGGGGTGATGGAGATGTTCTAAAACTGGATGGTGGTTGGACAACTCCATACATTTACTAAAAATCATGGCCCTGTCCACTTACAATAGGTGAATTTTATGGTATATTTCAAATAAAGCTGTTAAAAAAACAAACCACTTCCTATGGCTCACACAGGAGAGAGTACAGCATCTTGCTGGACACCCAATGTGCTCCACCATCTGCAGATTTGCCTTTCCGGGACCAACTCCCCAGGACCCAAGCCCCGTGGAACTCTCTCCAGGCTCATGACCCCCTCTGGAATTCACCTCATAACCACCGCCAGCTTCTCCACCGCAAGCTCCATCTCATCCTTCAACACTCTGGGCAAATGCCGCTTCCTCTGGAAGTCTGCACCACCGCTAGGATAATGCTTAGCAAAAATCAATCTCTCTCATTAGAGCAGTGCTTTAAAAACTCACACTAATGGGTTGTGAAATCAACTGTGCTCTAACCAGTATTTTAAAAAATGAAATACAATAGAAAAGAGAATGCGGTGTATACAGTAAGTACCTTATTTCATGAGATGACTGTTTTCATCTTTCTTTTTTTTTTTTTTCTGAGATGGAGTTTCACTCTTGTTGCCCAGACTGGAGTGCAGTGGTGAGATCTCGGCTCACTGTAACCTCTGCCTCCCAGGTTCAAGCGATTCTCTTGCCTCAGCTTCCTGAGCAGCTAAGATTACAGGTGCCCGCCACCATGCCCAGCTAATTTTTTATATTTTTAGTAGAGATGGGGCTTCATGATGTTGGCCAGGCCGGTCTCGGACTCCTGACCTCAGGTGATCCACCCTACTTGGCCTCCCAAAAAGTAGGGATTACATGCATGAGCCACCATGCCCGGCCTACTGTTTCATCTTTCTATGTGTGTATTATCTCTATGTGTACTGAATTCTGGGTTGCATATTTCTTAGAGTGGCTTGAGGTTTAGAAAGTTACGAAACAGATTTCAACTAGACAAGGCACTCCTTGAGGGCAGGGGCTGTGCTCTGTTTCTCTCTGTATCCTTGTGGTCAGCATGGGGCTTGGGACCCAGAAATTACCCAATAAGACGTCTACTCTGTGAGAGTGGCTTTGCAAGCATGTTGATTAAAGGCCCTTTGTGTCGTATTTTTTTCCCTCTCACACAACATGCAAACATTCTTTAAAAAGCTGTTTGTTGGCTGACAGACCACACCCTACAGTTAAGACTGGCAGCAAAGCTCTGCAAGAAGTTCAATGACTGCTGTAAATCTCACTTATAAAACTAATACATACACGTGCATTTTTTAGAGTGAAGATATATAGCCTAAAAATACTAATAAAATAATAATTCAAATCTAAAACTCCACATGGGACAGGCTGCGTAATTTGCAAAATCAAAGTGTGGGACCCTGTTCACACACTATTGAGAATTTTAGAGGGCAACTGCAGAGCCGGAAACCAAATTCAAGGCCTCTCGGTACAGGCGCACAGGGGCTTGCTGATGAAGCTGACCCCAAATTATAAAGACAGAGATGGGGGGATGCGGGGCTAGAGTTTCAAAGGGCTGCCTTAATGGTTCTTAAGATCCCATTTCACCCTGATGTTTGGAGAAAGACAAACACAAACATGCTTTTGAAACAAACAAAATAGTCAAGGAACCCCTAACAGACGACACGGGGTGACGACGCGGGGTGATGACGCGGGGTGGGCAGAATCAGCATTTGGCTCTACCACAAACCTCATCTGCTTGTCTTTGGGCTAAACATTCTGTGCCATTTGCCCAGATCTCAGAATCCCACCAACCCCAACCTGATGGCAGCAATGAAGGAAACCTGTGGGCCCCAAGTCATCAATAACAGGAGGACTGGGGTTTTGTGGAAGAAACCGTGTACTTCATAGCCTAAGCATGACCAGGCAGAGGGTCCAGTGGCTCATGCCTCAGTTTCCCTGCCCCAAATCCTCATCTGTTTGGCCAAGGCTTTGATTTTCAACCTGAGTCCCCACCCACGGGCCTGGCCCTCTGGGACGTCCAACTGAGAAACCACGCACGCCGAGTCCTGCAGCCTGGTCAGACCCCGAGCCTGGCCCCTGCTTTCTCCTCTTCCCCTTGGCCAAGGTCCCCAGATGATTAAAAAAAAAACAGTCTGAACTCCATCTCTCTCTCTTTGTCTTAGGAAAGCTGGGATGGGTGGGTGGTCAGGAAAGAGGGAGAGGCCTGTCTGAGGCACAGAAGTCTTATGAAAGGTTCTGTTTGCTGGTAATTCCATGAGGAAAATTGCCTTTGACTGGTTTGTCCAAACAGGTTTGCAAATTGAGATGGGAACATTTTTTAAAGATCACCGCCATCTCCACATGATTTAAAATGTCATCATTTAAATTATGTGGAGCTTCTTTTGAGAAACGTTTTACCCCTGAGCATGTCAAAAGCAATTTCCCAGAGTGCAAGCTTTATGAATCTAACATGATAGGCCCGAGCGTCTCCCTCCCTGACAGCTGGGGTCCCAGTCTGCCATTCGGGGAGCACCAGCGTGCTTCCTGCTGACTCAGGGAAACCCAGGGCGCCAAAGGGGCCTCACAAATCGCTCAGTCCCCTGATGATTAAAATCTTACTTTAAAGCAGCAGAAGCTGCTCTTTAAACAGAAGGCATCTCGGAGAGGCCAGGCTAGAGAAGAATCGGAGTGGAACAGCTCTGGCTGGAGGGAGCACAGGCGCCAAGACCTGACCTGCTGTACTCCCCCTCGCCACCCCTGCTGGGGAAGGGCCTCTGCCACCCTTAGAACTCTCCAGAGCCCAGCTTGGGAACCCGTGGTCTGTTCTGCCCCCCTCCCATATCCCTATTTCACAAGCAGGGGAGAATGAGCCACCAAAGGGTGGCCTCCCACGGTCTCACCGAACCTTCGGCTGACTCCAGGCCGGCGGTTTCCAGCACCCCAGGCGGCCTGTTTCCTTTTAGTTGCTGGGAATTTAAGGGCCCTGAAAGGTTTGAAGCAGCTTGTGCATCTGTGTGGTCCCAGTGGGGTCTCGCTGTCCCACTGCCTTCATTTGAGCTCTGTGGCCTGCAGTCCTCAGTGGGAGGAAGCACCTGCACGTCCTCACCCCACCCACCTACAGCGTTTCCCTGAAACCCATTAAAGTCACTGCGGCAGAACCCATGTGAAGACACTTACCATGTGCCACTTTGGTTCAAGGCAGGAAACGAACCCTACTTTCTCAGTGAGCTGCAACTTCAGAGCCTCGAGCGCTCTTCCTAACCGGATCCGAACGACTTCTACTCTGGAAGGTGATTCAAGACCAGACACACAAAGGCCAAATGTCTTGCAGCCACTCAGCTCCTCTTTGTTCAGATTCTGGCCAGAGTTTTCAAAAGTTACGAAAAACGAAAATCTTCTTCTTCTGGGGATGTCCAGTTCTGTAAATTTTTTGTTGTTTTTTGTTTCTTTTTTGAGATGGAGTCTTGCTCTGTTGCCCAGGCTGGAGTGCAGAGGCACGATCTCGGCTCACTGCAATCTCTGCCTCCCAGGTTCAAGTGATTCTTGTGCCTCAGCCTCCCAAGTAGCTGGGATTACAGGCGCTCGCCACCATGCCCAGCTATTTTTTTTTTTCGTACAGACGGGGTTTCACCATGTTGGCCAGACTGGTTTCAAACTCCTGACCTCAAGTGATCCGCCTGCCTCAGCCTCCCAAATTGCTGGGATTACAGGCGTCAGCCACCGAGCCCGGCCTTATTTTTGAATTTCTAAGCATTTTTTTTTTATTAGTTATTCCTGATTGTATACCCTAATGGTTAAATAATGGGACCTATGTAATTTCTGATTTTGAACTATGCTGTCATCTAACATATGGCCACTTATAAAAATATATTATGTTAAGATATAAAGAAAATGGGCTGGGCACAGAGGCTCACGCCTGTAATCCTAACACTTTGGGAGGCTGAGGCAGGTGGATCGCTTGAGCCTGGGAGATTGAGACCAACCCAGGCAACATGGTGAAACCCTGCCTCTACAAAAAATAAAAAAATTAGCCAGGTGTGGTGGCACATTCCTGTCTGTAGTCCCAGCTACTTGGGAGGTTGTGGTGGGAGGATCCCTTGAGCCCAGGAGGTCAAGGCTGCAGTAAGCTGTGATTGCACCACGGCCGGGGTTACAGAGCAAGATTCTGTCTCAATAAAAAATAAAAAAGTAAACAAACAAGATATAAAGAAAATGTCAACAAATCCCATCCCCCCCAAATATCTAGGTAGTTCTGTTTTATTAATCTTGCCAAATATTCAGTGAGGCCTTTTGATCTGAAGACTCAGGGAACTCTGTTGATTATTTCTTTCATATTTGTTTTTCTCTGTTCTCTCCTCCTAAAACTTCTACTTTGGATATGTGTAGTTTTGTATTAGAGTTTTCCTCTGTGTCTCTTATTTTCAAAATGAGAGGCAAATGACATGAGATGGTGAGACAGTGCACTTTAGTGGCAAAACACAGGACAAGACTGGGTGTGGTGGCTTACAGCTGTAATCCCAGCACTTTGGGAGGCCAAGGCAGGCAGATCATCTGAGATCAGGAGTTCGAAACCAGCCTGGCCAAGATGGTGAAAAGCCGTCTCTACTAAAAATGCAAAAAATTAGCCAGGTGTGGTGGTGTACATCTGTAATCCCAGCTACTCAGGAGGCTGAGGCAGGAGAATTGCTTGAACCTGAGAGGTAGAGGTTGCAGTGAGCTGAGATGGCGCCACTGCACTCCAACCTGGGCGACAGAGTGAGACTTTTTGTGAAAACAAAACAAAACAAACAAATAAAAAAACCCACACTACAAGTTCTTTAAGCCCTTTCTGCTTTAGTTTTCCCCGTAGGTGAAATGGGGAAATATAAATATAATACAGTAGCTTACCTCATGTGAGGATTAAGCTACACAATGTATACACAGCACTTAGTAAAGTCTCTGGTACATCACGTGTGTTCAATAAATGTTACTTGCTATTTATTTCTGAGAAAAAAAACATTGCCTGGCTAGTGCTAGTACCTAATATCCTAAACAAAACATTAGCAAATTTGATTTAAACACAGACTAGAAGAATAATACATGTGATCCAAGTAGTATTTATTCTAGGATTGCAAGGATGGCTCTATATTATAAAATTTGTTAATATAACTTACGACATTAATTAGTCAAAATCATTCATTTAAGAATCTTTCCTTTTCCCGGTGATTTGAAATATGTCACTATAATGATACATTGTACTAAATTATTTTTTATACTGGGGTCTGTTTCAGACATTTCTTTGTTTCACTGATTTGTTTGTTCCTATACTGGTAACATCTGTTTTCACTATCATTACTATAGCTTTATAAGATATTTTAATATCAGATGCCCTAAGTGTCTCTCCCCTTTGAATTTTTCCCTTCTGAAATTTTCTTGGCCATTTGTACATGTTTATTCTCCTAGATGAAATTTATAATTATGTAGTCAAATTCCCAAAGCGTCCCATTACGATTCTGATGGAAATCGTACTAAATTTATATATGAAACTGAAAAGAGTTGACATCTAAAGTAGCCAACCAGTCATTTCTATGACATCACCACTTTGAACGACTTGCTACCTATTTGGAGAGGAAAAGTAGATTAGAAACTACATCGAAAAGATGAAGTACAGAGAGTTTAAATATTTAACTACAGAAAATTAAACCTTAGAAGCACTAGAAGAAAATATTTCTACTATTAGGAGGGCAAAGAATCTTTCCAGGATATGACACCAAAGACAGATGCCATGAAGAAACATGTTTAGAATCAAAAAATAAAAAAAAAGATTAAGTGAAATTGAAAGGCAGCTGAGAAACTGAAAACCATTTTGCAATATATATTCAAGACAAAAGATTAATATCTTCCATGTGTAAAAATCTTTTCCTTATCACCTGGAAGGGGCTGAAATGTCTGATGTAAAAGAGAAAAAAGTTACACAAATAATTAGCAAAATAACTATGACTGTCTAGTAGCATATAAAAAGTCTGCCACCTCTTTAATTACGTTAATTCAAATTAAACAAGAAAATTTTTTTAATCAAAAAATTTCCATATATATATATTTTTAAACACATTATAACACCCAGTACAGGGGCGTTCTTAAATAGAAGAGCTTTAAAATGTGCAAAGATGTAGCTATAAACATGGTCATACAATATTAATTAAAATAGCAAAAACTGAAAATAATCTAAATTTGTACAAATGGGGAATTTTGTGAAAAATATTTAATATCCTAAAAAGATGTTCACACAAGCATAAAACTACATGAAAAATAATGTTATTCAATTTAACAAAAGAAATAAACAGAAAAAGGAAAGAAAGAATAAAAGGAAAAGAAATTATATATACATATTTTTAAAAATTCAGATAGGATACAGCCCATAATATTACCAGTGTTTATCACACAGAAAAAGCAAGATTATATAGTTGATTTTAATTTTCTTTTGGCTTCTCTAAATTTTATACAACAAGCTTGTATTACTTCTTTCATTAGGAGAAAAAATTTTTTTTCTATATACATTTTCAAAACAGGAGAAAAAAAATCAGAAAAATGATAGCCACCGCTGTCATAGATACTATGAAGTCTGACATTTTTAAACATTGCTGACAGCACTATGAAATGCCCTAAACATCTGATCACCAATTTTGCAACAAAACTTCATGTTTTATGACCTTGTGAATCTATCCCAAAGAAATACAGTTCAAAATACTGAAACAGTTATGCACATGAAAATGTTCACTGCAATACTGCTTGTAAAGGTGAAAAATTAGAAGCTAACCATGGTATAACAGAAGGGTGGTTAAATAGTACACACCTACTGAATGACTCAAGAGAATTTTTAGGAAAAGCCTTAACAGGTTGAGAGAAAACCAAGAGAAAATGATTGTTTATAAACTCTAATTATGAGAATAAATCATGCTCATAGTTAAGAAACACCAAAAGGAAACATAAAAAGTAATGATGGCTGTTAGGACATAGAATTACACGTGATTATATCTTCCTTATTTCTGTTTTCCAAATGCAGCTATATTACCTTTATTCTTTTTTTATTATTATTTTTTTTTTTCTGAGATGGAGTCTTGCTCTGTCACCCAGGCTGGAGTGCAGAGGTACAATCTCAGCTCACTGCAACCTCCATCTCCCAGGTTCAAGCGACTCTCCTGCCTCAGCCTCCCGAGTAGCTGGGATTACAGGTGTGCACCACCACACCAGGCTAATTTTTGTATTTTTAGTAGAGATGGGGTTTCACCATATTGGCCAGGCTGGTCTTGAACTCCTGACCTCAAGTGATATGCCCACCTCGGCCTTCCAAAGTGCCCAACCACCTTTATTCTTTAGAAACATTATACAGTCATGTGCCACATAACATTTGGGTCAATGACGCATATACGGCAGTGGTCCCTTAAGATTATAATACCATATTTTTACTGCACTTTTTCTATGTTTAGGTGTGTTTAGATATACACATACTAACCATTGTGTTACAACTGCCTGCAGTGTTCAGTACAGTAACATACTGTTAAGGTTTGTAGCCTGGGGCAACAGGCTGTACCACACAGCCTAGGTGTGTAGTAGGTTCTAACATCTAGGCTTGTGAGTACACTCGCTGATGTCCACACAATGACAAAATTGCCTACTGATGCATTACTCAGAATGCATCCCAGTTGTTAAGCTACATGTGACCATATCTGGAAGAGAAAAAGAAGAAAAAGTAAATTAGACCGCAAGATGGAGAATCTGTTGGAAGGAGGAGAATATGAAGGGTGTGAAGTAAGGCTGGTAGAGTACTGCCTAGGCTGGCAGGGACCTTTGGAATGTGGGGGTTGGCAGGTTTAAAGGGGCTGACTCCCGTTTCTGGTTGGGGCAATGAGCTGATAATGATGCCTTAACTTGGAGCATGAACAGAGATTTCATGGCATGTCAGGAGGAACCCACACTCGAGGGTCTGAGTGTTGGTGCTCCCCCAAAATTCATATTGTTACCCCCAATGCGACAGTATTGAGAGGTGGGGGTGCTTAGATTAGGTCATGAGGGCTCTCCCCTCGTGAACGGGATTAGTGCTAGTCACAGTCCGTTTTGTTCTGTTAGTGCTAGTCGCAGTCCGTTTTGTTCTGTTAGTGCTAGTCGCAGTCCGTTTTGTTCTGTTAGTGCTAGTCGCAGTCCGTTTTGTTCTGTTAGTGCTAGTCGCAGTCCGTTTTGTTCTGTTAGTGCTAGTCGCAGTCCGTTTTGTTCTGTTAGTGCTAGTCGCAGTCCGTTTTGTTCTGTTAGTGCTAGTCGCAGTCCGTTTTGTTCTGTTAGTGCTAGTCGCAGTCCGTTTTGTTCTGTTAGTGCTAGTCGCAGTCCGTTTTGTTCTGTTAGTGCTAGTCGCAGTCCGTTTTGTTCTGTTAGTGCTAGTCGCAGTCCGTTTTGTTCTGCCATAACAGAATACCCGAGACTGGGTCATTTGTAAGGAACAGAAATTTATTTGGCTCATAGTTCTGGAGGCTTGGAATTCCAAGATCGAGGACCTAGCATCTGGCAAGGGCCTTCCTGCAGCATCATAAGCTGGTCGAAGGCATTACAAGGTGAGAGAGAGAGCAAGAAGGGACCAAACTCATCCTTTTATTATGAACCCACTCCAGCAATAATGGCATTAATCCATTCATGAGGGCAGTGCCCCCAAGACCCAAATACGTCCCATTAGGCTCCACTTCCGTATACTGCTGCACTGGAGATCAAGTTTCCCACACATGAAGTCTGGAGAACACGTTCAAACCCTAGCAGCACCCTCATAAACCTCACCCCACGAGGATCAGCCCTCAGAAACACTGAATCTGCTTGCACCTTGATCTTGGACTTCCCAGCCTTCAGAACTGTAAGAAATAAAGTTTTTTTTTTTTTTAAATAAACCATGCTTTTTTGTCACTTAGGTTCATTTCTTTTTTCTTTTTAAAATAATTTAAAAATATATATAAAATAAAATAATGGATTAGAGATGGGGTCTCCCTCTGTCACCCAGGCTGGAGTGCAGTGTTACGATCAGAGTTCACTGCAGCCTCCAACTCTTAAGCTCAAGCAATCCTCTCACCTCAGCTTCCCAAGTAGCTGGGATTACAGGCCAGAATTATGAGAAATATATTTCCATTGTGTATAAATTACCCAGTCTAAGTTATCTTTGTTATGGCAGCCCAAGTGGACTGAGATGCTATCAGAGGAACTGGGAGGCCCCTGGGAGGCCAACCCTGCCTGCCCTGTGTCTGGCCCTGTCTTCCCCCACGTCTGCCGCTGGGAAATGGTCATGGGAAGCAGGCACCCCAGCCAGCCTGAACCCTGTGGTTCCCTGATAGTAACTGGCCATTCGCCTTCTGGTCATGACTCTGATAAGAGGTTTCTGGCTCAGAGCCGCTACAAACCGAGAGGTTTCTCGCTCACAACCACTACAAACCCGACAGCAACGACGCTGTCCTTCAAGCCTCATGAATAAAGCTGTTTTCTATGGTTGGATGCAAAAAGCATTCCCCCCACCCCCCTAAATGAAGGCATTAAAAATAATGCTCATTAAAGTCACCTCAGACAGGATAATTAAAGGTAGAACTGTCCCGGACTAAACACAGCTTTCAACCTCCAACGATGCCGCACCTCCCCCACCCCACCCCACCTTTTTACTATTTTTCCTAATTAGAGAAGTGGCCCGAGACACAGCAGAGCTTTTGTTGTCTGGTCTCGTATGTTTCTGAGAAAATTATACACAAAGCACCCTTTTGCAGAGCTCTAGAGACAAGGCATGGGCACTGAGTGGCATCCAGCGCCGGTTAGTAAGTGACAGGAACTGGACTTCACGCGTTGTGTCCAAATGCCCCTTTCACCCACGTTGGTCTAGTAGCCATCTGCTGACCGTATACCCGGCGCAGAAGAACAACACCTGACCTCCATTAACAGTGTCTGCCACACCTCAGCAAGTTCAGATACCAGATTCCAGGTGACACCTTGTCACTGTAGGACCTGTTTACTATGAAATGGCAGCATTCCAAAGCCAGCCCCGGAGCAGGAACAAGGCTGATTTAGATGTGGGAATTACATACCCTCACGGCCCTATGGTGAAATAAAACATAATGCCAGACCCTGAGCCCTCCCATCCAGCAAGCAGCCCTAGGTATGTGGCCACCTGGTGTAGGTGAGAAGTGTCGTTTCCAGGTGCTAAGCAGGGCTCTAACTGCTGGTTGTCCGCAAGGATCGTTTTCCCCTTCTTCTATGGTAAGAAAAACGTTAGGATGGCATAAGCCTTCCTGGTCCCACATTCCCTTGCAGTTGGCGGAACAGATGGGAGCAGCTTCCTTCTCGGGCTCACTCTTGAGAGAAGGTGCGTGCCACCCCGCCCTTTCCTTTCTTGCTTCCTGCAGGCTGAGTGATGACCCAGGAGTAGGAGCTGGAGCAGCCAGCGGGGGCCAGGAGAGGACATCGCACGCTGAGAACGAGGGAGCTACAGAACAGTAGTAAGCTGGGTGTCCACAGCCTCCGAGCCGCTACACCGGTGTCTGTGCTGTTACGAAAGAGGAAAACAGATCTATCTTGCTTCACTATCTGGAGGTCTCTGTCATAGCAGCCCAACCTGAATCCTAACACACCATGGGTGGCTGAAATTAACAGACATGTTAATAGTAACAATAGCCAGCTTTTGTTGAATATCAAACTCGTGCCATGCAGTAGACTAGGTGCTCTCTCCATGTATTATCTCACTTAATTCCTCACAACAGCCTGGGAGGTAGGGACCATTTGTCCTGTTTTACAGATGGAGAAACCAAGGCCCAAGAAAGTGGGCAACGTTATCATGAACTGCAGACAGAGCCAGGATAAGAACACCCAGTTCAGGGCTCCTCCCCTTACCCTGTGCTGGGTACTAGCCCTAAGTTAGCAACTTTTTCTTTCTATCTCTAAATTATTTCTAAGAACGTACTACTTAAGTCAAGGTTAATTCTCAGCACAAATAGAATAAAGAATTATAGGTCTCTATGTTATTAAAACTAAATCCTTGCAGAACTCAATTATCAACTTCTATTAAAAAGGACTTTGTTTTCAAAGCAAGCTTTCCTGTTAAAAAAGTGGAAAAGAGGGAAAACTTTAAATCTATCGAACAATTATTTACATTTTAAGAACTGGTATTTTCAAGACAAAACCCCCTAGAGGAGAAACATAAGATCATTTAACTTCTAATTTTCTTAATCAGTACAATTATTTCCCATATTCCTTTACTATTTGAATTTTACCCCAAACACTCTGATCTCTAGAAATCCTAAGAGAATAAGAAGCAATGAAAGAATTTAGTAATATGGTCACATTAAAAAATTAATACAGGCTGGGCACGGTGGCTCACACCTGTAATCCCAGCACTTTGAGAGCCCAAGGCATGCAGATTACTTGAGGTCAGGAGTTTAAGATCAGCCTGGCCAACATGGTGAAACCCTGTCTCTATTAAAAATATAAAAATTAGCTGGGTGTGTGGTAGGCACATAAGTAATCTCAGCTACTCGGGGGCCTGAGGCAGGAAAATTGCTTGAACCCGGGAGGCAGAGGTTGCAGTGAGCCGAGATCTCATCACTGCACTAGAGCCTGGGCGACAGAGCGAAACTCCATCTCAAAAAAAAAAAAAAAAAAAATTAACACGGAAATCAATAGTTTTCCTATGGTAAAGACAACAGCCAGTGATTAGATCTAAAGAAAGAAAACATCCTATTTCTTTCACAGTCTAGACTATTTTATTCTAAAATACAAGATACCTAGAAATAAATTTAAGACTTATAATATCTACATGAAAGAAAAGTTTCAATCTCCTAAGAGATGAAAAGTAAGATTTGAAACAGTGGAGATGCATTTCATGTTCACGTTTTTCAGTAGGAAACATCATAGAAATAATAATTCTTATGTTAATCTATAAATTTAATATAATTCACACAAAAAAATACCAATTAAGTTTGTGGGCAAACTTATTCTAAAGTTCATATGGAAAGCTAAAAATGCAAAAGTAGCTAGAAAAATTCCAAAAAGAAAAATAAGTAACAAGGGAGGATAAGTCCTATCAGATACCACGATGTATTATAAAGTCTAGGTAATTAAAAGGGTGACATTGACACATGAATAGACAGATCAATGGAACAAAATAAAATGTCCAAAAGTAGACAAAACTGTGGACAAGAATTTAATTTATGAGGAAGGTGATACTGCAAACTAATAGGGGAAATATATGGAATATTCAATTATCAGTTGAAACAACTGAGAAGCCACCTGAAACAATGAAACTGGATTCACATTTCCTACTTTACACGGACATATTCCAAGCAGATCAGAGTTTAAAGGCAAACCTGAGACCATAAACTGGTCTAAGAGAAACCAGGAGAAAAAGCTTTTGGAAGTTTGCAGTGATGAGAATCTTTCTAATCCAGGAACCATAAGAGAAAAGACTGATAAAATGGCCTAGATAAAAATTAAGAACATGTGTATCTCTAGAAACTGCCATGAGCAAAATCAAAAGGCTAATGACACACTGGGAAGAAATACACTCCATTCATTCATAACAGAGCTTATTTCTGTAATACATAAGGAGTGCCGACAAATTGCTTTAAAAACCAGCAACAGAAACAAAAGCTATGATCAAACAATTTACAGAAAAGGGAAAGAGGTTCAACCACACTCATAATAAGTGCACTGCAAATTGAAACTTCTCCAAGACACAATTTTTTACCCAAAAGAATGGCCCAGATCCAATACCTGTTAATACATGGAGGTGAGGGGATGGTGCACCAGGAGCATAAAATAGAACCTTGATAATAAACAATTTGTCAATGTCCGTCAAAATCAGAACTGCTAATTGACCCACGATTTCCACTAGGACCTAATCAGATATGTGTACCTACATGTACAGGAAATAATGGATATATACATTAATTCCATGATATTGTCTGTGATGGCAAAAGAGTGGACACAACTGGAATGCCCATGAGCAGAGGTCTGGTTAAAGAAACCAGGGCACATCCATGCCAAGGAATCCCACACGGCGAGAAAAACCAATGAAGAAGCTCTTTAGAGACACAGGGAAAGGATCTCCATGACATGCTGTTAAGTGAAAGAAACAAGGTGCAGAACAGTAAGTGCCGTATGTTGTGTGTTGTAAAAAAGGAGAACAAGAGACACACACACAACATTATCTCTGGAGGGACACTGCATGAAACCAAAGCTCTAGTGTTCAGTGGGGAAGAGAACAGGACATCTGGAAACCAGCATACACAGTGCAGCCTACTCTAGCCCCGTGAAGAGATGACCTGGGGGTATCATGTTCTTCCAGCTATTAGAAGAAAGAGCATGATGGAGCACCCTTTCTTCTTGTCTCACTAGCCACTCACTTTCTGAGTCATTCCCGTGCCTGTGGTGCTGTTGTAAGGGCTGGGAGGAGACTGGCCATGCGGGTTTGGAATTTCCCTCAATTCTGTTAACTGCAGGATTCATCCTGAAGCACCCACGCTTCAGCTGACCAAGGAATCTACCCCTTAATTTAAAAGTTTGCACTTTCACAGACTTCCAAAGTACAGAGCTAGGAGGGTTCTTAAGATTGGCCCACAGTAGACTTCTGTGGATTCAATTCATTGGTTCCTTCAGTCAACCAGCTCTCCACAATGCAGATGAGGGCAAAGATGAGGATGCTCTTCTCCCCATTCCACAGACAGGTGAAACGACTCGTTCACAGTCACACACTTTTTCAGTAGCAGTAGCAGACGAGGAATTCAAACCCAGGCAGTCTGTCTCACTTCTCACCACGATTCCATACTGACTCTCAAAACCTACTCCATGCCATGCCTGTGCCAGACCAGAGATATTAACATAAAAGAAAAAAATAGTTCCTAGTTTTTCAGGGCCTTTGGTCTAGGAGCAGGGGTATAGATATTGTGGCCAAAGTTTGTAAGATAAAACCATTTTATAGAAAAAGTTTAAATATCACACTCTTAAAAAAAAGAGACGTATTTATTTTTGTCTTTGCAAGCCCTCTGTCCGTCTTCATACGGTGGAGCACAGAAACAATTACACAGAAACACAACATATGGACAGTTAAGCAACAGCCCTGAAAAGTGATCACAGATGAAGTTAAAAGGGCTGTTTTCTAAAATACCCTGCCCACCCACCCTCAATCTTACCTCAAGGACCAGGTTAACAAAGCCAGGCGATGTTTGAGAATTGCTGACATGAAATGAAAAAGCTCATAGAGTACTTCATTCAAACGTTTTGAAATTTAAAAGCCTATGAAAAGCAACTCAGATCAAAAAGTGAACAAATGGTCACTTTCTCTATGGTTATCAAATAGTGCAGATAACCTAGGCCTGCAGGCTGCGTGCTGTCAGCTAAAAACATGCCTCCAGGAACAGGATGTGCATTGCTCTCCAGTGAGGTGATGCCAGGTGGGTGGGGGCAGGCCTGGCTTGGCTTGGGGTGACCAGAAAGGAGGAAAAGCCTGCAGTCTCCTGGCAAGGCATTTAACATCTGTGGGCCTCAGTTGCCTCGCCTGTGAAATGGGCATAATCACAACCTTTGGGCAGAATTATGAGACTCAGAAGAGCAGGCTCCCAGCAGTGACTCCCGGGATTCCCTTCCCTATCTCCCAACACACAAGATAACCACAGGCCCCTGGAGACCACATCCTCACTCCTGTGCAACCAGGAAGGCCTGCCAGAGTGGCTGAAGAGTGAATTCCACGCCGGTGTGCAGGCGTGTTCATTAATCCTTTATTGCGTGTATTAGTTTCCCGTGGCTGTTAAAAAATACCACAAATGGTGTGGGTTAAACGGCAGGAACTCATTCTCTCTCAGTTCTGGAGGCTGGAAGCCGGAGTCAAGGTGTCGGCTGGGCCTGCTCCCTCTGAGCCCCTGGCTAGGACTGCTCCATCCCCTTCCCGGCCTGTGGAGGCGCCTGCCATCCTTGGTGTCCTTGGCCAGCAGCTGGGCCGCTCCTCTCTGCTTCTCCCCATGCACGTGACGTGCACACAACGGTGGCCACGCAGTCTTGTCAGGTTGGATTAAGGACCTGCTCCCCTCCAGTCTGACTTCATTTAACTCATTACATCTGCAAAAGACCCTATTTCCAAATAAGGTCACATTCAGAGGAACTCCTGCAATCTTTCCGGGGGGGACACAGTTCAACCCGTACCACTGAGCAGTCGCTGACTGGGTCACCGATGAAGGCGTGAAAAGTCACGCACGGGCCTGCCCGTGGGCCCGCCCTAAACCTTTCCAACCCGTTTGGGAGGAGTCCTGGTGCAGAGTGACAGCTGGGGGCCAGGCCACAGGCACCAGCATGGGAGGGCTGCCCGCCTGACCCTGGCATCGGCTGACACAGCAGGGTGGAACCCCAGGGGGGCTGCAGCCAGGGCAAGTCACTCAACTAAGTAAGCTTAGGTCCTCCTGTGTAAAGAGAGTAATAACAACACCTGGCCACCTGCATGAATAAGGCAGCTCTCAGGCCACAGAACCCCAGAATCTCAGCCTGGGAAGCACCATCCACCCAGCTGACCAAGCGAGAATCACGGGAGTCCCCCTGCATCAGCCTCCACATCCAGGCATGACACCGGCCCTCCCTGGCATCTCCGCCATCGCTTCTGTGTGTTTCCTCTCTGCCACGCGGACGGACCGCACCTCAAGGCCGAGAGCTGGCACCTATCCCCTGCCCACCCATCCCACCAGGCTCCACGAGGAGGTCAGAGCGGAGGACCAGCCCTCTACAGTGGCCCTATGTCTGACACTGGCTCCCTCAGCTCGCCCGCCCATCAGGAGGAAGCCAGACTCCACCTAAGGCCATTCCAATCAATAGACCACCGAGATGGTTTAACTTAATGAATAATTCTCAGGTGTATTTCGAAGAATAAACAGGCAAGAGTAGCTAAGACAATTTTTTGAAAAGGAAAAATAACAAGAAAGGGACTTGAGTTGTTAAGGTGGATTACATAACCACATGAATTGAAACAAATGGGCACTTGGTGCAGATTTTGAAAAGACTCTCATATACCAAACAATTTCGGGTACAATAGGAGAGAAACACAGATTGTTCTGCAGATGGTGTTAGAACAACCAGTTATATGGAAGATCCTCAAGTCATATCCTTCCCTCAACCTTGCCACCATAATAAGTTACAGATTTTCAAAGAGTTATACGTAAAAATAAATGAAGTCTTCTATACTTCCCTAGGCTTCTATAATTCCATGGCAAACATGGATTACTTTTGTAGTGAGGGAATAAACAATAAAAATGGAAAAAATAAATGAAGCTTTATATTAAACCAGAAGGAAATACAGCGAAACATGTAACCGATATCAGATGGGACTGGACAATGAGAGAAACAGTCAAAAAACTCGAGAGTTTGGCCGGGCATGGTGGCTCACGCCTGTAATCCCAGCACTTTGAGAGGCTGAGCTGGGCGGATCACCTGAGGTCGGGAGTTCGAGACCAGCCTGACCAACATGCAGAAAGCCCGTCTCTACTAAAAATACAAAATTAGCTGGGCGTGGTGGCGAATGCCTGTAATCCCAGCTACTCAGGAGGCTGAGGCAGGAGAATTGCTTGAACCCGGGAGGTGGAGGTTGCGGTGAGCCGAGATCGCACCATTGCACTCCAGCCTGGGCAACAAGAGCGAAACTCCATCTCAAAATAAACAAACTCCAGAGTTTAAAGTTTTAAAATTGTACTAGAAAAAAAAATGATAAAAACTGAAAGGCAAGTGACAAAGTGAGAAAAATTTTTGCAACAAACGTAACGAAGGATTGTTTTTCTTAAGATAGTAAAAATGTCTTGCAAATCAGTAAGAAAAGCAAGAAAATTCCCTGATTTCCCCTCCACAGACAATTCAAAATGGAACTATAACCGTCCAACAAGCCTATGGCTGATAATGTAAACATGCAGAGATAAAACAACACACCCTGTTTTGGGTTTGTTTGGTAAAGAACCATTCATTACTATTACAGTTAATGAAAAATGTTAATCATGGTGCAGGGATACAGGCCCTTCCATGCACACCTTGTTCCAAAAAAGGTGTGGGCCACGTGTCTGAGGCACTTAAACACATCTACTCTCTTTCACTATCTCACTTCAGTCTAAGAGTCTGGACTAAAAGATTGAACAGAAATAAAAGTCAAAGGTGAAGATGTTTATCACATCATTCTTTTTTTCTTTTTTCTTTTGAGACAGAGTTTCACTCTGTCGCCCAGGCTGGAGTGCAGTGGCACAATCTCGGCTCACTGCAGCCCCTGCCTCCCAGGTTCAAGCAATTCTCCTGCCTCAGCCTCCCGAGTAGCTGGGACTACAAGTGCCCGCCACCACGCCCGGCTAATTTTTTGTATTTTTAGTAGAGACGGGGTTTTGCCATGTTGGCCAGGCTGGTTTCGAACCCCTGACCTCAAGTGATCCGCCCATCTCGGCCTCCCAAAGTGCTAGGATTACAGGCACGAACCACTACGCCCGGCCACAGAGTTCTTTATAATAGCAAAAATTTCAATGTAATCTTAATGTTCAAAAGTAGAAAAAAATTTTACTTCAAATATGGAATATTATGCCCCCATTAAAAAGGTTTTCCTTAATAACAAAAAGAAGTGCCCAAACAAAACCAAAAGCCACTTAAATTGCGTTTGGTAACACAATTTCACAGATTGTTGGAGGCAGTGCTGTGATTATCATCCTCAGACTGCTGCATGTGTATCATGGAATAAAGCAAGTGAGTTAGGTGCTGCTGCTGAGAGGCAGGATTTTCAGCCAGAGTAAAAGATCATGTTAAGTAAAACTAGGTAGCCTTGAATTTAAACTGAAAACAGCAGCATGCACTTAAGATGCATTTTATCTTAAAAACAAATAGGCAAACGTTTTCTAGTTCTGTGCTGAAAAGGCCTAATAACTAATGAGTTTCAATGGGTATCCACAGCACCCATATTCACTGTGGTCTCTATATATTTCCTCTTTAAAAGAACAGATAAGGTCAGTCTGGACCATCTTGTCATAGTGGAAGCAAAGAAACTACCAGGGACAATTAGGGTCATGTCAAAAGGACTCACATGCCACCCTGAAGCTCCCACCGTCCAAAGATGAGAACCCTTGGGTGTCAGTAGAAATAACTGCGATTGACCTCACTTCTGGAGGATGCTGGGAACAAACTCATTATTTGGAAAATTGGTAAATAAGGGAGAAAAAATAAAAACATCCATCCTGCTGTTCCTAAGTGAACTGTACCACAGGGTAGCTGAACAGTGGATGCAGGGGGCGGGGGTGCAGTTCTCTTTGTAGAAGTATTCCAGATAATAAAGAAAGAAGAGTAACAGAGCCGGGCACGGTGGCTCATGCCTGTAATCCCAGTACTTTGGGAGGCCGGGTGGATCACTTGAGGTCAGGAGTTCGAGACTGGCCTGGCCAACATAGTGAAACTCCGTCTTGACTAAAACTATAAAAATCAGCTGGGCATGGTGGTGCACGCCTATAATTCCAGCTACTCAGGAGGCTGAGTCATGAGAATCACTTGAACCCAGGAGGTGGAGGTTGCAGTGAGCTGAGATTGCATCACTGCACTCCAGCCTGGGCAACACAGCAAGACTCTGTCTCCAAAAAAAAAAACACAAGAAACAAAACAAACAAACAAACAAACAAAAAATAAACAAAACAACGAAGAAGAGTAAAAGGATCAAAATACCATTATTTTACAAATCCTTATAGAATGGATCTGGGCAAGCATGATCAACAGCAGTGAACGTCACAAAAAGGAACACCTTCATTCTGTGCCTCCTGTGGGGCGTGCACCCCACCACTTAATATTCTTACCCCCAAAACCAAACCTGAAGCTCATGCAGCCTGCAGATCTACCCACCAGTTTACAGGAAATACAGGGGCAGAGGAATCTATTAAATGACACCACAGGAAGACAATCATCAAAATCCAGGTGGTGGGAAACTCCAGGACAAGGGACTGAGTTTTCTCAACAAATAAATTGTAAGAAAAAATTAAAGGGAAGGAGGCAAAACCTGTGGGCTAAATCAGACTTCGCAGACTCAAGAACCAATCACAATATGGGAACCTTGACTGGATCCTGATTCAAACCACCAAAGAATCATGAAACAGTTGGGGAACTTGCACATCAACTGGATTGCTATTGGAAATTAAATATTTGTTAATTTTTAATTTGTTTACGTGTAATAAATGGTATTTTGGTGATTTTTTAAAATGCCTTTGACTTTTAAATATTTATACTAAATATTTGCCAAAACAATAAACATGTCTATAATTTGCTTCCAAATTACCCAGGTGGCTAATAGGTGGGAAACAAGATGTTTACATATGAAACAAGAAGAATTGTGATTTAGTAATTGCAGAAACCAGGTGACTGGTATGTGGGGCTCACATCATTCTACTTTCGTACAGTGTTTGAAATTTTTCCATAATAAAAAGGGGGCCCGGGGGCAGTGGCTCACACCTGTAATCTCAGCACTTTGGGAGGCCAAGGCAGGTGGATCACCTGAGGTCAGGAGTTTGAGACCAGCCTGGACAACGTGGTGAAACCTCATTTCTACTAAAAATACAAAACTTAGTCGGGCGTGGTGGCGTGCACCTATAATCCCAGCTACTTGGGAGGCTGAGGCAGGAGAATCGCTTGAACCCAGGAGTTGGAGGTTGCAGTGAGCTGAGATTGTGTCACTGCATTACAGCCTGGGTGACAAAGCAAGATGCTGTCTCAAAAAATTAATATAAAAAGGGTTAGAAGACATTTCAAATAAGATTTTTTTCCCTAAACAATTTAATGACATGGAGAAATGTTCATGATATGGCCAGGATGGAAAAAAGCTACAAAACTAATAGAGAGTGTTCTGTCTTGTTATACGCACACATACAATTTTGAAGCCAAAAGAAGAAAATTCAATACGATGTTAATAACAACTGTTATCTCTTTATGGTGGTATAATGGGTGTTTTTAAAATCTCCTTCTTTATATTTTCTGTTTTCTATTATGTGTATGCCTTAGTTTATAATTATAGAAATAGATTTTTAAAAGCATCGAACCTGGGATTTGTTAGGGA
This sequence comes from Homo sapiens, assembly GCF_000001405.40. NCBI lineage: Eukaryota > Metazoa > Chordata > Mammalia > Primates > Hominidae > Homo > Homo sapiens. The sequence continues at coordinate 178,460,103 of NC_000005.10, forward strand.
AAGCCCAGCTGTGATGTTCATAGTGTGTTTATTTCTGCTTTTCCTAATCACTTCCAACAGTCTCCTGAACAGCCAAGAACTCAGAGGATTTGCCATGCAGAACCCCCAGATTTTATCAACTAAACAATTCACAGCAGACCTACTACAGAAGCACCTTCCCCAGGCACAGACAGATGGCACCCACAGTTCTTTACCCCAAGGGGAAAATAACCACAAAGAAAAAAGCCCTTGGCAAAGATGAGCATGGCACTGCCCATCCCAGTAGGATGGACCAGCCGTCTAGCCACCGAGACAGGGCAGTGCCAGGTGGGCTGCTGGGATCTGTAAGGAAAGCTCTGTCAAGTGGAGAAAATAATCCTAATAACCTGTTCATCCAAACTGGGAAACATCATCTGGGCTCTCAGAAGAGCTTCTGTGAGAGGGCGAAATAGTAAAAGATGTCCAAATCCTGGTGTGGCTCTCTCCTCTTCTAGACGGGAAAACAGCTTTCAGGTTCCCACTGTTGAGCAGCCTCGGCTTCCCAGATGCTTTCCATGCAGTCTGACAAGTATCCCACCCTAGCTGGCTGCCTTTTGCTTCCAGTGAAAATCCACGGAATCCCTTTGCCCTGCTTTTCTTATCTTATGCCTGTTCCCCTGGCATGCATGGACATTTTTTGGCCTCCACATTTTATAAAAGGTCTTACCAGCCGTATGTTGCTAGGATATATGGACAAAAATAAAAAAACAAGCCCCAGACCATGCTGCCCTGTGGTCTTCAGTCAGTGCGGGAGGGAAGAGAGACACCCAAGATTGCCCCTTCCCCTATTCTATAACATTCAAGTTGTGGGGGTCTCAGCTCATGCCCCCATTTTTTTTAAACGTAAAGAAATAAATAGCATAAACTCCCATGGGAAAGTCGGATGGCAGCCCTTTAAGAGAGCTGCCCTCTAAGGCAGGTTGGGGAACAGAAACAAGCCACTTTACATTTTTGGCAGCAGGACCAGGGGACTTCCACGAAATTGTGCAGAGATGGGAACTGGCTGCAGCCCAGGAGCCGAATTCCTCGTGCTGCTTCGCCCCTCAAGAACAAGTCACTTCTCCCAACCTTGTGGCCACAAGGACTCTCCACAGGAGCATCAGTGTGTGCCCAGGCTGGCCACCGCCACGAGTCCAGCCTGGCCATGTCCTGGTGACCTCTCCTAGCTGTAATGGCTGTTTCCACCACAAGGGGCAGCCGCGGCAAAGACAGGCCCATCACCCACAGGCCTGGAAGAGGAGCTGAGTAGAGTCAGGCCAAGGGACCTGCCATCCCCAGTGCCTCTAGCTTTCTCAAACTGGGCTCTAGCAGTCGCTGGGCCTGGTTAGCCACAGGGAGAGTCCACCCAAGGAGGGCCTATTCGGCATCATGGTGAGCAGGCAATGCCCTCTGAAAGTACAAACCATTTTTTAATAGCTTAGATAACTGTGGGAATGCTTTGAGGGTATTTTAAATGATTTGTCTACTTGGAGAGACCGGAGTAGCCAGCATGCAACAGTCCTTACAAACAGAAGCTCCTGCTGGCTCACGGCCTTGGGCAATTTGCCTCAGTCTCCTCACCTGTAATACAAGGTAGAGAACCATATTCACCTAACAGGGAGTTTGTGAGAGGATAAAATGAAGTCTTGGCAAGCACACAACATGTTCTCCGTACATATTGAGGACACTGGTAGGGTTTTTTATCCTATTCGAAATAACAGGGGTTCAAGACAGCAATGGCATGTTGGAGGAAAATATAGGGGTGCAAATTGGAGAACACAGACAATGAATTCTACACAAGTTCAAGAACAGAAGGAAATGTCAGGGAAGAGGCGGATGAGTTGTGGTACTTCAAGGAGCTGCCGCGAAAGTTCCTGCCCAGGCAATCAGACGGTGCACTGCAAATTGGTTTTGAGTTGGTGAGTTTGCACAGCACTGTGTTCTTGGCACCCAGCACAGCTGCTGGCTCATAGTAGGAGCTTATTAAGCATTTTGGAAGGATGGGAGGAGGGGCTTGTGATATAAGTAGCCATCTACTCAACATTTCCTCTGTGCCATGCATGGTAAACATTTCCACATAATTTAACTCTGGTTTTATTACTGTCATTTCACAGATGACATGGAGTCTCCAAGAGGTTCCCCCCCACCCAGCAATCAGGCCCAATCCCCAACACAGCTTTTAAACAAAAGCAGCTGAGGCATTTACTCTGGTCAGTAATGAAAATTCAACATTCTTCTGTCACTGATGTAACTTATAGGGTGCTTTTCATATTGATTCCTTTTATCTTTGCATTTGAGGCTAAGATAAACCTGTATGCATTTAACTTACTTCAGTCATTTAAAGGAATAAAGAACAAAAGAGAAGAATCTGTATTAAATCAGGCACAACAAGAGGAAGCATTTTTAACAAAACATTATGTTAAGAGCTTCGAGTTTCTATAAATCACCCCCATTGAGTAATCCCCAAATTACTATTGTTGTGCTATTCAGTATCCTCCATCCATAACAGCTGATGAAAATGCACGACCAGGCCAAATACAAAGGTAGAACAATTTTTTAACTTAATTTTGACTCTGCATTACTGAAACAACAAAAACAAAAAAATCAAAACCTTCCGGGATTTAACAAATTTAACTACAAATTACGAGTCAGATCCTCTCAACAATTAGATGCCTGTAGCAAAAGAACGTTTCCCACATCAAATTTCCCAGATTTTTCATTAACAAATGTCCCCATGGTTCCGTCTTCAGAGCTGGAGCCAAAATGGAAACTGGTGTGAAACTTGGTGAAAATTTACGGACAGCAGATGACTGCGGAACGAGGAGGAGAGAAACAGGAAGGCGGCGTTTGCTCTTTATTTGGAATAATTAGCAAAGCAGAACCAGCTGAAGGCTGGCACCATGTACCTTACCCAAAGGTTGCAAGGGCTGGAATGTGCAAAGGCCACGTCAGCAGATGGTTAGGTGCAATTTCACGCCTCACCGCGCAGCGACACAAAGGGAACTATTTTTTTAAGTGCATCTGAACTTCAGCAGCACGGATGGGCTTTTTTGCTCCAAAGATTCCAGTTATCTTGAGAGCTGCATACCCTTAAGCTACAAGCACCGTTTTTACTTCAGGCTAGGTAAGATGCAAGTAAATTAAGGATTTCTTTCTATTCTTTCCAGAAAATAAATAAGCATTTTTGAATTTTAAGTGTTTCAGAAAACTGCTTTTCATCAGATGTGTGGAAATAAGTTTCTTTTCTGAGAAAGGTCAAGATGTATGTGGATTTGGTATTCTCTTCCTGGGCTGAGGCCGTGAGGTGGAGTGAAACTGTTACCGGGTCTGGAAAGGTGTGGGAGTAGGATGGGAGGAAAGGGCAGGAAAAGATGCAGGAAAAACCACAATAATCACGATAATAGGAGCACTCCCTGCATGCCACACCTTGTCCCCCGCACTTTGGAAACCGCCACTGGGACCCCAACCTATGAGGCAGGTATTGTTAGTGTCTCTGCTTTGCCGATGAGGATGCCAGGGGAGAAGAAGTTGATGAACTCACTCCGTCACACAGCTGAGAGGCGAGCGGGACACAGGCTTCCCCAAGGATGCTTTCCAAATGTGCACGGTGGCCCCCAGCCCTGCCGCGGTGTAAACACAGGGGGTCTGGATGGGAACGGACGTTTTGTTTATAAACAAGGAAGAGCTCAAACATCTGGTCCTCCCTTTGTGGCTGCGGACACTGTGCAGGTATGAGCCCTTTGGCCTGCCTGGTCCATGCAGCGTAAATACCAGGAGGCCTGCTGCTCTTCAGAAACCAGCCTGGGCGTGCAGAGACCTCAGGCTGCAGAACGAACCTCTTGTTGTGGGCCTCCCGGCCGGGCGTGAGCACAACCACAGGCTCATGGGGAGAAATCTGCCGCCTCCCCAACACCAGTTGGCAGGAGCTGTTCACCTACCCCCTTTTACTGCCGTAACATACACATAACACAAAATGTACCATCTTAACTACGTTTAAGCGTACAGCTCAGCGGCATTAAGTGCATCCGCGATACCTTGTGGCCATCACCACGTCGACTGCCAGAGCTCTTTCATCTTCCCAAACTGAAATGCTATACCCATTAAACACTAACTCCCGATTCGGCACTCCCACAGCCCACACCCACCACTCTACTTTCTCTATGAATTTCACTACTCTAGGGACCTCCTATGCGTAAAATCGTGCAGTATGTATCCTTTTGTGTCTGGCTTATTTCACTTAGCATGATATCCTCCAGGTTCATCCCTGTTGGAGCATGCATCAGAATTTTCTTCCTTTTAGGGGCTCAATACTATTCCATCATATGCATATACCACATTTTCTTTATCCATTCAGCCGCTGATGGTCACTTGAGTGGTTTCAATGTGCACGTACCCCACTTAGACACAATAAATAGCTTCTTCCTGGTGTAACACACATGATTACAAGCACGTTGCTATTCGTAAGGTCCAGCCCCAGGTTACCTGTGAAGGCTGCGGCCGTCACTCAGCCCTGACGTGGAAGTGCAGGAAAGCCGGCTCCGTGCTGCTAGAGCTTCCCCACTTCACCATTAAACAATAGAAAAAGCTGGATTTTTAAAGGGCACCTAAATTTTTAAATGGTTAATGATTCAAATGCTTTAAGACACTGCAAGCCAAACAAAACTGCCCCAGATGTTGGGTGTAGCTCTCAGATCCCGTGAGGCCTCAGCCTTATAACAATTCCATGTGGCAGAGTTCTGTAGATGAGGAAGCAGCGCTTAGAGAGGTTAACTCAGTTGCCCAAGGTCACACAGTGGCTCTGTGCTTGAACGGAAGTCTTCAGCTCTAAGCTCAGTCTCCTTCCAGAATGCCACTGCTGCCTATGGAACAACGCCTTGTAAATGACAACACGGTTTTGATGCATGATCATTAACATGGATGAAGAGGTAGCTTTGAGTAGGGCCCTAAAAATAGTTCACTTGATTTAAAAATCATATCCAAAGCCCAGCCAGGTGGGGCCAGGGGTCTTATTAAGTGCTCCTGACCTCCCAGTGGCAAAAGAAAATAGCATTTCCACCTTCACAGCCTTGCACAGCGTGTACACGGAACCCATCAGAAAACAGGGGTCGGCCTTCCAGTTGTTAATCAGAACGCTGACAGGTGAAAGCTTCAGAGGCTGGGGGTTCGGAGATCCTGCAGCGAGCTCTGGGACTTAGAACACCAGGCTGTCGTTAACCCCTAGGGTGCAAAAGCCTGACATTCTTTAGCGTGACCGGACTCCCTAAAACTGGAGATGCTGGGCTCCTCTGGAGCAAGGAGGGTTAAATGGTGCATCTGTTTTCTCTCTCAGAAGGTCAGGAACCCAGGCATGGGTTTAAAAGCATTCTTCACACAGAGGCAGATAACCCCTCTGACATGGGCCTCCGAGCAAGCCTGCTGTGCAGCCTCGAGGAGGCCCTCCTGGTGGACAGGCCCACAGCACCCAGGGCAAGACTGGGCCACTTTCAGAGCCTGAAATAGGAAGAGGCCCACTCTGGCCTCAGCGTGCTTTCTGCCCCTCTCTAGAATATTCTAGCAGGCTCTGAGCCCTTTGGTGTCGGGAACGCAGCAGTGAACAGAAGAGCAAAGTCCCCGCGGGGTGGCGGTCACGTCCTCACGAGATGGGGAGGCAGAGTGATCGTGCTACACACGGTAAAGAAGTAGACTGTCCTGGGGATTCAACAGCAGTGAGTCCTCTGAGGGACTGGCGTGCAGGGGCAGGGAGATGTGGGGTGGTCAGTACCAACCAGCGGTGGTGTGGACTCGCCGCTTGCCTGGCTTCCTGCCTGCTCCGGATGGCGAGTCTAACTCAGCGCACACTTCAGGACACAAAACACAGTAGAGCCTCGGGGTGAGTGCACCTCAAGGCCATCGTGTCCACATCACCCTGGTCCCTCAGTCTCCCCTCTGCGCCACCTCTTTCCTGAATCCCATCCTGGTGAACGACCCCCATGAATCTCATCTTGGGAGACACACATCGGCCTCCAAGCCGTGGGCCTCAGAGGCATTGCAACGCAAACTCACTCCCATCTTCGCCGGTGTTGGAGGCCTTCTAAATGCCTCTCCAGCCTCCTCCCTCCTCTCGGCCTCCACTTCCACATCTTTAAAATGGGGGCATTGACAGGACCTGTGGGGGTGGTGAGGATTTGATGCATCTGCAGAGCACAGAGCAGCGCTTGCTAGCCACTGGTAGTAGCAATGGTAGTTGTCACCATTGCTGTTGACATAGTAGCTTGTTTTGAAAAAGTCAAGTTCTTTTTTCTTAAAGCCGTCACAAAAGCAAGCCTGGACCTTTCGTCCTGTGTTGATTCTAAGGCTTCCTAAGCTGGAAGGTCCCAGCTCTCAAACTCAGCTACGGGAAACTGAGACAGGTCTGCGCATCCCTGGCCTTACTACTTTCCAGGGGCCAGAGGAACAGGATGTGAGGCAGCACCCTCACCTTGAGCCCTGATGTCAGAGGCCCCAGGTTCTGGGTCTCACCAGTCCAGGGACCCACGTATTGCTGTTTCCTGTGTCCCTGCTGCTGCGGGGGATGGCCCTGCAGCCTGCAGCCCCTTGGCCATGCTGGAAAACACCTGAGCCATGGTTACCATTCATCTGGAGCCAAATGGGTGTCTGTATGGGATCCATTACATTTCCAGCCCAGCTGGGAAGGACTGTTGGAGCAGCTCTGGCCGTGCCAGGCTGGCCAGGTGGAAGGACAGCCACGTCTGGGGGTCAGCTGGGCACACGGAAGTCCGAGGAAGGCAGCAGAATGGATACTGGAGTTAGGAGATGTCGATTTGTGTCCCTAGCCTAGCTGTGTGACTGCAGGGGAAGCCACAGCCTCAGTTTCCCCAGCTGTAAAATGGGGATAATAGTCCCTGTGTTGTTGATTTATTTTGGAGAATAAGTGACATTATATGTATATATATACGTAAAATGCCGTGGCAGCACATACAACTGCTGTTACGACGAGGTTAAGTTGGAGAAACTCGTGAGAAGGTGAGTTGAGACATGTGGACTGAACCCTGAGCTGGGGTCCTTCTTTTATGTCCCCTCACTTGCACAGGGAGCTAGCTCAGTATTCTTTTTCTGACCTGACATCTTTAGGGACAGGAACAGGAACTTCTGCTGCCTGAACCACTGAGGCCTTTGGGAAGGTCTGGGACGCTGACCTCTCCTTGTAGAAATGTGTGGGTCTTGCCCTTCCCTGCCCCTGGTGGAGACCCTTCCACCCCCTTGGCCAGCAGCCTCTAAGTGACAAACGCTCCCTGACTCTGCTCTGGGCCACGCTAAGCTGGGGGCTGGTGATGCAGGGTGACCCTACCCCACTCCCTGCCTTAGGAAGTGTGTTCTTTAGCCGGACTACACGGAGGCAGTTTGTGTAGAGTGCAATCTGTGCTCTAATAGCTATGTGTGTTGTCTTGTTTAGGGGGCGGTAGTCGGAGGGAACCACAGAGAGGAGGTCCCCATTGTGCGAGGGTTTGAAGGATGTGTGGAAATTCTCTAGGTCTCTCAAGCTTGCAGCTGTGTGTTGCCAAATCCCCACCCCACGGCACACCCGCTTCGTGATTTCTGCCAGAGCCACAGACCTCTTCTCCTAGTACTGATTTAATTCTTTTTAATTGACTCATTTTTAAAAGTTATTTTTAAAGTAAACATTATACACTATGGTAAACAAAAAACCAGTTCCACTTGCCAAAAATAGAAAGAAACTCTAAAAATAAATACAAAGAAGGGAAGTTATGAAATTATAAGCGGATACTGCAGCAGGCTGGAGTCCGAGGCCTGCCTTCCATGCTAGTGACAAAGGGAAACTGCAGGCGCTGCAGAGGCGTTAGCGACACACGGGCCCCAACAGGAGCCTTTCTCCTGACACCACTGAGAAGGAACTGGAAGGCGGCGATGCTCTCTGGAGCGGACAGGCGTATTTAATATCCCACCCACGCATCACCTAACAGCCTCTGGGGCGGTGTGTTCCTTATGTTGGGAGTGGTTTCCATAGCTGGAAAAGATGGTGAGAAATCTGAGTGCCAGAAAGAGAGCGCCGGCTTTGGGGTGTGCTTGTGTGTTCACGGAGGATGAACACACCCACCCAGACCCCACCCAGACCCCACCCAGACTCCAGCCAGAAGCCACGGCAAGCCGCCAGTGTCGAGCAGAGGGCCCCTGCAGGAAGATCGGGAAGGTCTAAATCCAAGCTCATTAATAGGCCAGAGGGTGAGAGAGAACACGGAGGTGCAAGACAGGGAGGGGATGGAAGCCAGCACGTGGGTCAAAGGGCGATGGACTGGGCTAGGGGTCAGTGTGATGATGGTGAATGCAAGAATATCAACAACCACGGCTCCGTCTCCTGTGGGCTAGACACTGCCTGCAGGGCACGAGATGATTATTTCGTTTCATCCTCACCCTGCCTCCCTCATCTGCTCACACCCAGGCCTCACCCGGCCCCGTCCCTCTGAGCTGACCTCAGGCTGCAGGCCACACGCAGAGCAGCTTCCCCTCCCCTCGAGTCCCCCCAGGCAGCCTGGAGGGAAGGGCCGGGTCCGAGGTCACGGAGCCTGCAGCTCTCCTCAACTGTGTTCTGGGGCACAGGACCCCACATTTAATTTATAAATTCCCAACTTTTCAAATTAAAAAAAGTATTGTGGTAAAATATGCATAACATACAATTTCCCATCTTCACCATTTTTACGGGTACAGCTCAGTGCATCAGGTGCATTCACACTGCTGTGCAGCCATCAGCACCCTCCACCTCCAGGACGTTTTCATCTTCCCCTGCTGAAACTCTGCACCCATTAAACACCAACTCCCCACTCCCCCCAGCCTGTGGCACCCACCATCCTGGTTTCCGTCTCTATGAATTTGATGACTGGGTGCCTCACATAAGTGGAATCATATCGTGTTTGTCCTTCTGTGTGTGGCTTATTTCACTCAGCACCATGTCCTCAAGGTCCGTCCATGTTGCAGCACGTGTCAGAATCTCCTTCCGTCTGAAAGCTGAACCGCATCCTGTTGTGTGGACAGGCCACATTGTGTCTATCCATTCTGATAAACACGTGGGTTGCTCCTACCTTTTGGCTACTGTGAACAATGCTGCCCTGAACCTAGGTGTACAAATACCTGTCTGGGTCTCCGTGTTCTTCCTTTGGGGGTATACCTAGGAGGGGACGAATTCCTAACTTTGAACATGATTAGGCAGGAGCTTGTTACCCCTGGGACACTGCGCAGTGAGCAGGCTCCTGC